>NC_000009.12:32282727-32434242 GCF_000001405.40 Homo sapiens
CTTATTTGCTGTGTCCTGCATAAATATTTAATAGGTACCCTGAGAAGTAACTCTTGTTTAATCTATCATCCATTTTCCTATTAGTAGATAGTGTACAACAGCTTAACTTTCCCCCTGAATACATTATTTTTAAAAACACCTGCAAGATAGTTTTCTATCAACCAAGCAATAATCCACAAATAAATTATTATAACATTTTTATCTTTCTTATCAATAAAAATCACATAGTATGGTAGAACCTATGTGTTGGAGCTCCTTCAAGGCAAAATATGAGTTAATTTTTCTGTGCACCATTGTGGTCATACTCAAATTGATCATTGCCAAGGAAAGTTTTTTTTAATAAACACGAAACAATGCAGGTTCTTACTCAGCTGTTTTTAAGCATTAACAACAATAAAACATGCCTTATTTCTAGAAACAAAGGCTTCACAAATTAAGAAGAAAAAAACTCCCATTATCATTCAAAGGTAATTTTTAGTCAGCGTGCTTCATGCTCCATTAATTAATCTATTTGTAAGAAAAAAGAAAAAGGAGTACCAACACCTCTTTTCATTGGATTTGTATCCCTTAAGTGAGATCAACACAGGCCCCAGGCTCTGGCCAGGGCACCCAGCCTGGCTGCATTAAGGATCCCTGGCAAGCTTTCTTCTTGGTCTGTGTTTCTCTGGAGATCTCCCTGTAGCCAGCTGTGCAGATGAGCACCTTAGCCTTTCACTGCAGCAAGTGCAGACCCCCATGTGTGCACAACACCTGGCACTAGCAGGCAGAAGGCAGAAAGCCAGCAGATAATTCACGGCAAGTAATGTTGGCAGAAAAATAGCAGGAAGCAAGCAAGGGAATAATGTTTAGGAGAAAAGGCATGTACAAGGTTCTCCTTCACAGGCTATAAGATTACAGTGTGTCCATCACACTTGCAGATGAACATGAGAACAGAGAAGTTGCAAGGTTTTCATATGTTTTCAATTGTTGCCAAGAGAACTCTGTGTCCCCAGTACACTAATTATGGGTCCAACTAGTTCTGTACCACCAACCCAAAGAACATGCAACTAATTCCAAAATGCAGGATAATTCTTTTCCTAGATGAAGCCTTAATGACTTGGACAGCTCTCCCTTTATCAGTGGGAAGGCCCTATCTGGAAGGCCAGGCTCCAAACAGAAATAAAGGATGCTACCTTTTCTTCTACCACACTTGTCTCTACTGCTTCAACCAAACCAGAAAATCTGATCCTACTTAGCCTTAGAAAATTTCTTATAGCCACAGGGGCAGAATCAAAGTTAGTGTCATTGCTTTTTTTCCCCAAGGTCTTGCCCTTTTGCCTACCTTAGACTTGAGCTTATCAATGAGGAACTAGCTCTCCTTGTGCAGGTGGAAGAAGCTATTCTGTGCCTTTGAGTCAAGTTTCCTCAAAAGGGTGAGATGATATATAGGTTAAGCCTGATAGCTTGTATGTCAAGCTTAATTTGAATCTTGGCTTTATCACATAAGAGCTGTGTGACCTTCAGCAAGTTAATCAACATTTCTGAGGTTCAGTTTACTCACTTGCAAAATGAGGAAATAGTACTGCAAGGATTAAATGCCAGCTTTCACTGTATTCTTCATCTAATATGCAGCCAATCATATATGAACGTAGAAACAGTGAATGTAATGCAAATTTTTAAAATGCTAATGTTTTAGAGCAATATGTATTCATACAATTATACATCACTCTATTCTTCAGTATCAAACCAAAATTTAAGTGACGCCATCTTTGAGAATCTAAGCCATTTTCATCTGTAGCCATTCTCAGTTATGCATGTTTCTTTTTCAAAACCTGTGCTCATTATCTTAACTGTGTTGGCAATTTCAGTTTGACAACACGATCACTTAGCATTCAGGACTGCTGTGTATGTTTGTACAGTTTATACACTGACAGCATTAGAAAATGTCATCCACATAGACTATGGGGCATGTCTAAAAATACTACATTTTCTTCAACGAATGTGTATTTCCAGAAATATACCTTCTCTTCATGAAAGCTACCAGAGTCGGATAGAGCTGAGTATTCAGCACCTGCAGGATCAATGTCAGTATGATGCATGATTTGGTTGGACCAACCTCTTTTCACTTTGAAGACTTTTATTAATGTAAGAATATAGAGCTGATTGACATTTAAATGAAAGAATTGTTCGTAACCGTAAATATAATTATTTTACACTGCTGAAAGAGACAACATGAAAGAAGCCTGGATTTTATTAAGGTTTTTGAGAAACATTTGTTCTGTTGGATATTCTATTACTGAATGACCAACAAATAGTCCAAAACAATTTTCAAATTCTAACCTTGCTTTCTAAATTATACATATCATTATTCAAAGTTTATCGAGCCCAGAAGAAATATTAAATAAATTAAATAGCTATTCTCATAAAGTTATTTTAAATATAATACATTTAACTAATCATAAAATATTATATACTCATTGCAAACAATTTTGGAGGAAAAAAGTGAGCATAGAAAAAAAGTCCATCAAAATCACACATATTATTATCACCCATAGATAACCTCTCTAACCATTTGGCTATATTTATTCCCAATTTTCTTCAAATGATATACATATATATGTAGTTTTTCTATAAATTCAAAATTATTAAATTATACACATATTTTTTCCATAAGTTATTGGAGTACAGGTGGTATTTGGTGGCATGAGTAAGTTATTTGGTGGTGATTTGTGGATTTTGGTGCATCCATCACCCGAGAAGTACACACTGCACCATATTTGTGGTCTTTTATCCCTCGCCCCCTCACTCTTCCTCACAAGTCCCCAAAGTCCATTGTATCATTCTTATGCCTTTGCATCCTCATAGCTTAGCTCCCACATATCAGTGAGAACAGACGATTGTTTGGTTTTCCATTCCTGAGTTACTTCACTTAGAATAATAGTCTCCAGTCTCATCCAGGACACTGCAAATGCTGTTAATTCATTCCTTTTTATGGCTGAGTAGTATGCCATTTTATATATATAAATATATATATGTGTATGTATATATGTGTATATATACATATATATATACACATATATACACATATATATACACATGTATATATACATATATGTGTATATATATACACACATATATATACACATATATATGTGTATATATATACACATATATATGTATATATATATACACGTATATATATATACATATATATACGTGTATATATATATATGTATGACAGTTTCTTTATCCACTCATTGATTAATGGGGTGCTTCCACGATTTTGCTATTGTGAATTGTGCTGCTATAAACCATGAGTGTGCAAGTATCTTTTTTGAATAATGACTTCTTTTCCTCTTGGTAGACTGCGTAAATACCCAGTAGTGAGACTGCTGGATCAAATGGTAGTTCTACTTTTAGTTCTTTAAGGAATCTCCACACGTTTTCCATAGTGGCTCTACTAGCTTACATTCCCACTAGCAGTGTAGAAGTGTTCCCTGTTCACCACATCCATGCCAACATCTACTGTTTTTTGATTTTTTTATTATGGCCATTCTTGCAGGAGTAAGATGGTATTGCATTGCGGTGTTGATTTGCATTTCCCTGATGATTAGTGATGTTGAACATTTTTTCATGTGTTTGTTGGCCATTTGTATATCTTCTTTTGAGAATTGTCTATTCATATCCTTAGCCCACTTTTTGATGGGATTGTTTCTTTCTTACTGATTTGTTTGAGTTTGTTGTAGATTCTGGATATTAGTCCTTTGCCAGATGTATAGATTGTGAAGATTTTCTCCCACTCTATGGGTTGTCTGTTTACTATGCTGACTGTTCCTTTTGCCATGCAAAAGCTCTTTAGTTTAATTAGGTCCCGGCTATTTATCTTTGTTTTTATCACATTTGCTTTTGGGTTCTTGGTCATGAAATCCTTGCCTAAGCCAATGACTAGAAGGGTTTTTCCAAAGTTATCTTCTAGAATTTTATAGTTTCAGGTCTTAGGTTTAAGTCCTTAATCCATCTTGCGTTGATTTTTGTATAAGGTGAGAGATGAGGATCCAGTTTCATTCTCCTACATGTGGCTAGCCAATTATCCCAGCACCGTTTGTTGAAAAGGGTGTCTTTTTCCCACTTTATGTTTTTGTTTGATTTGTCTAAGATCAGTTGGTTGTATTTGAGTTTATTTCTGGGTTCTCTATTCTATTCCATTGGTCTATGTGCCTATTTGTATAGCAGTACCATGCTGTTTTGGTGACTATGGCCTTATAGTACAGTTTGAAATCAGGTAGTGTGATGTTTCCAGATTTGCTCTTTTTGATTAGTCTTGCTTCTTTTTGATTAGGCTATGCAGGCTCTTTTTTTGGTTCCATATGAATTTTATAATTTTTTTTCGAATTCTAAAGATGAATGATGGTGGTATTTTGATAGGGATTGCACTGAATTTGTAGATTGCTTTTGGCAGTATGGTCATTTTCACAATATTGATTCTACCCATCCATGAGCATGGGATGTGTTTCCATTTGTTTGTGTTGTCTATGATTTCTTTCAGCAGTGTTTTGTAGTTTTCCTTGTAGAGGTCATTCAATTCCTTTCTTAGCTATATTCTTATGTATTTTTTTTTCTTGAAGCTATTGTAAAAGTGGTTGAGTTCTTGATTTCATTCTCTGCTTCGTTGTTGTTGGTGTATAGAAGAGCTACGGATTTGTGTACATTAATCTTGTATCTGGAAACTTTGCTGAATTCTTTTATCAGTTCTCGGAGCTTTCTGGAGGAGTCCTTAGGGTTTTCAAATAAACGATCATATCGTCAGCAAACACTGACAGTCTGACTTCCTCTTTACTGATTTGGATGCCCTTTATTTCTTCCTCTTGTCTGATTGCTGTGGCTAGGACTTCCAGTACTATGTCGAAGAGGAGTGGTGAGAGTGGGCATTCTTGTCTTGTTTCAGTTCTCAGAGGGAATGCTTTCGACTTTTCCCCATTCAGTATTATGTTGGCTGTGGGTTTGTCATAGATGGCTTTTATTACATTGAGGTATGTCCCTTGTATGCCGATTTTTCTGAGAGTTTTAATCATAAAGGGATGCTGGATTTTGTTGAATGCTTTTTCAACATCTATTGAGATGATTGTGAGATTTTTGTTTTTATTTCTGTTTATGTGGTGTATCACATTTATTGACTTGTGTATGTTAAAGCATCCCTGCATCCCTGGTATGAAACCCACTTGATCATGGTGAATTATCGTTTTGATATGCAGTTGGATTCAGTTAGCTAGTATTTTGTTAAGGATTTTCGCATCAATGTTCATCAAGGATATCAGTGTATAGTTTTCTTTTTTGGTCATGTCCTTCCCTGGTTTTGGTATTAGGGTGATGCTGGCTTCATAGAATGAATTAGGGAGGGTTCCTTCTTTCTTTATCTTGTAGAATAGTGTCAAAAGGATTGGTACCAATTCTTCTTTGAATGTCTGTTAGAATTCTCTGAATCCATCCAGTCCTGGACTTTTTTTGTTGGTAATTTTTTAATTACCATTTCAATCTCGCTACTTGTTATTGGTCTGTTCAGGGCATCTAATTCTTCCTGAGTTAAGCTAGGAGGGTTATATTTTTCCAGGAATGTATCCATCTCTTCTAGATTTTCTAGTTTATGTGTGTAAAGGTGTTCATAGTAGCCCTGAATGAACTTTTGTATTTCAGTGGTGTCAGTTGTAATATGTCCTATTTCCTTTCTTAGTGAGGTTATTTGGATTTTCTCTCTTCTTTTCTTGGTTAATCTTGCTGATGGTCTATCAATTTTATTTATCTTTTCAAAGGACTAACTTTTTGTTTCATCTATCTTTTGTATTTTTTTGTTGTTGTTTAAATTTCATTTAGCTCTGCTCTGATCTTGGTAACTTCCTTTCTTCTGCTGGATTTGGGTTTGGTTTGTTCTTGTTTCTCTAGTTCCTTGAGTTATGACCTTACAATGTCAGTTTGTGCACTAAGCTTAGGGCTATAAACTTTCCTCTTACCACTGCCTTTGTTGTATCCCAGAGGTTTTGATAGGTTGTGTCATTGTCATTTACTTTGAAGAATTTTTTAATTATCATCTTGATTTCATTTCTGATGCAATATTCATTCAGGAGCAGGTTATTTAATTTCCACGTATTTGCATGGTTCTGAAGCTTCCTTTTGGAGTTGATTTCCAGTTCTATTCCACCGTGGTCTGAGAGAGTGCTTGATATAATTTCAATTGTCTTAAATTTATTGAGGCTCATTATATGGCCTATCATATGGTCTATCATGGAGAAAGTTTCATGCACTGTTGAATAGAATGTGTATTCTGTGGCTCTTGTATGAAGTGTTCTGTATATATCTATTAAGTCCATTTGTTCCAAAGTATAGTTTAAATCCATTGTTTCTTTGTTAACTTTCTGTCTTGATAAACTGGCTAGTGCTGTTAGTGGAGTATTGAAGTCCCCCACTATTATTCGGTTGCTTTCTATCTCATTTCTTAGGTCTATTAGTAATTGTTTTATAAATGTGGGAGCTCCAGTGTTAGGTGCATATATGTTTAGGATTGTGATATTTTCCTGTTGGACAAGGCCTTTTACCACTATATAATGTCCTTCTATGACTCTTTTAACTGCTGTTGCTTTAAAGTTTGTTTTGTCTGATATAAGAGTAGCTATCCCAGCTCACTTTTGGCGTCTATTTGCATGAAATGCCTTTCTCCTCCCCTTTACTTTAAGTTTATATGAGTCCTTATGTGTTAGATGAGTCTACTGAAGACAGCAGATAGTTGGTATTGATGAGTTCTTATCCATTCTGCAGTTCTGTATCTTTTAAGTGGAGCATTTAGGCCATTTGCATTCAATGTTAGTGTTGAAATATGAGGTACTGTTGCATTCATCATGCTCTTTGTTACCTTTGGGATTTTTGTTTGTTTGTTTTTGCTTTTTAACATGTATTTTCGTTTTATAGCTCCTGTGTGATTTATGCTTTAAAGAGGTTCTGTTTTGATGTATTTCTAGAATTTGTTTCAAGATTTAGAGCTCCTTTTAGCAGTTCTTGTAGTGGTGGATTGGTAATAGCGAATTCTCTCAGCATTTGTTTTCTGAAAATGACTATATCTTTCCTTGATATATAATGCTTAGTTTCACTGGATACAAACTTCTTGGCTGATAATTGTTTTGTTTGAGAAGACTGAAGATAGGGTCCCAATTCCTTCTAGCTTGTAGGGTTTCTGCTGAGAAATCTGCTGTTAATCTGATAGCTTTTCCTTTATGGGTTACCTGATGCTTCTGTCTCATACCTCTTCAGATTCTTTCCTTCGCCTTAACTTTGGATAACCTGATGACAATGTGCCTAGGCGAAGATCTTTTTGTGATGAATTTTTCAGGTGTTCTCTGATCTTCTTGTGTATTGATATCTGGGTCTCTAGCAAGGCCAGGAAGTTTTCCTCAATTATTCCCCAGAATATGTTTTCCAAGCTTTTAGAATTCTCTTCTTCCTCAGCAACACTGACTATTCTTAAGTTTGGTCATTTAACATAATCCCAGACTTCTTGGAGACTTGGTTCATATTTTCTTATTCTTTTTTCTTTGTCTTTGTTGGATCAGGTTAATTCGAAGACCTTGTCTTTGAGCTCTGAATTTCTTTCTTCTACTTGTTTAATTCTATTTCTGAGACTTTCCAGAGCATTTCAAATTTCTAAAAGTGTGTCCAAAGTTTCCTGAATTTTTTTATTGTTTTCTCTTTAAGCTATTTACTTGAATATTTCTCCCTTCACTTCTTGTATCATGTTTTTGAATCTCCTTGCATTGGGCTTTGCCTTTCTCTGGTCCCTCCCTGATTAGCCTAGTAACTAACCTCCTGAATTCTTTTTCAGGTAAATCAGGGATTTCTTCTTGGTTTGGATCCATTGCTGGTGAACTAGTGTTATTTTTTGGCAGTGTTGAAGAGCCTTGCTCTGTCATATTAACAGGGTTGATTTTCTGGTGACTTCTCATTTGGGTAGGCTCTGTCAGAGGGAAGGTCTAGGGCTGAAAGCTGTTGTTCAGATTCTTTTGTTCCATGGGGTGTTCTCTTGATGTAGTACTCCCCTTTTTCCTATGGTTGTGGCTTCCTGTGAGCCAAACTGCTGTGATTATTGTCTCTCTTCTGGGACTAGCCACCCAGCAAGTCTACCCGGCTCCAAGCTGGTATTGGGGGTTGTCTGCACCAACCACCATCTATGGGTCTCTCAGTCATGGATACCAGCTGCTGTTCCAGTGGAGGTGGTGAGGTGGGTTCAATGGACTCTGTGAGGGTTCTTAGCTTTGGTGGTTTAGTGCTCTATTTTTGTGCTGGTTGGCCTCCTGCCAGGAGGTGGCACTTTCCAGAAAGCATCAGCTATAGTAGTATGGAGCGGGACAGGCAGTGAGCAGGGCCCTAGAACTCCCAAGATTATATGCCCTTTGTCTTCCATTACCAGGGTGGGTAGGGAAGGACCATCAGGTGGGGGCAGGGCTAGGCATGTCTGAGCTCAGACTCTCCTTGAGTGGGTCCTGCTGGGGCTGCTGTGGGGCATGGGGGTGAGATTCCCAGGTCAATGGAGTTGTGTACCTACAAGGATTATGGCTACCTTTTCTGAGTCATGCAGGTGGTCAGGGAAGTCGGGGAAAGCCAGCAGTCACAGGCCTCACCCAGCTCCCATGCAAACTGAAGGGTCAGTCACTCTCCCACCATGGCCCCACCCCAATAGTCCCGAGTCTGTTTCCAGGTGAAGGGTGTGATGGGCTTGAAAACTTGCCCCAGGCTACCCGCCTCGCAACTGAGAGAGAAAAGGGCTTGGTTCTTCCCCCACCTGTGGAGTCTGCAAACCAGATTTGTGCCCTCCCCCAGGTTCTGGCCAGGAGGCTTCTCATCCTGTTCAAATTGTTACAAAGTTCAGCTAGAGATTGCCTTCTCCCTGTGGAATTTTACCCCCTGCTCCTCTGGTCTCCCTCCCAATGGATTCCTGTGGTGCCAGGCAGGAATGGCCTGCTAGGGGACAAGCAAGGTCCCAGGGCCTTTCTGCTGCTTCCTCTAACCTTGTATTTCACTCAGCTCTCCAAATTGACTCAGCTCCAGGTAGTTGGAAACTTCTGCAAACAGACCTTCAGGTTCTCCAGTTGGGGATGTGTGTTCAGGAGAGGAGGGTCTCCTTTTCCCACTTCTGCAGTCGGGGCACTCACAGTATTTGGAGTGTCTCCCAGGTCCTGCAGGAGCAGTCCACTTCTTTCAGAGGGTCTGTGGGTTCTCTTGGGATTGCTGGTTTGTTCTTGCAGTTGAACTGGAGCTAAAATTCACAATGTGAGCTTCCGCAAGCTGCTCTGTCTGGAGCTGCAATCTAGTCCTGCCTCCCATCTGCCATGATGATCGCCCTAAATTATACACATTTTTAATTTTAACAACATCATTAAGCTTCTATGAAATATCTCCCCAAATGTCTTTTTAAATGACTGCATGTTAGTATATTATTAGATATTTTGGTTGCTGTTACTTTTTAACTATTATAAATAATATTGTGATAAATGTCTTTTACAAAAATCTTTGATTAAATATCTGATTTTTTTTATAAGACAGATCCCTAAAGTTTCAAAGGAACCTGTTAAAGACTTTGTCACACCTTGCCAGTTTCCCTCTATAAAGTTTATGCCAAATACATTCCTACCAGAACAGTATGAAAGCATTCACTTTTTTTACATCCTTGCCAACGCTAGGCTTTTTCACTATTTCTGGCATTCAGTTTATATTTGTTGTTTACCTACAATGGTCAGATCTTGGGCTATGGCCTCAATAAATGCAGCATAGTAGAACAAACAGTGAATAAATATAATTTATGATGTTAAAAATAAGTATGTAAAATGAGTGTGTCTTACAAAAGGGGAGGCAACTGCCTGAGAAGAAAACAAACTTGAGTTATAGCAAGTAGTAGTATAGCCCAGCTGAGAAGGCCTTCTTCCTCAAAAATATCTTCTAGATATTAAAATGTACTTCTGGTATATAATATTTTAAATGTCATCCCACAGATGAAGAGCAGGCATACCACTTCCAAAAGCTGGCCAACCAGTGGAAGCCAAACAGAACTTTAACCAACATTTCGTGACAGCCAAGGAAAAGAATCTTAACAATCCTGAGCTAGATCCAAACCTCGCAATGAGTACATGGATGGCAAATTCAAATATGACCCAGTGGGGCACTTTCTGCTCTTCAGAGGCAGCCTTTACACAGGTTTAGGAAGATTTGCTGAGCATTTTCCAGTACAAGGCACTAACTTTTTTGTAAGCCTTCTAAGATCAGGAAAAATGTATTTAATTTAGAAATAATGCAGGTATATTAATACCTAAAATTTCAATGCACCATA
This sequence comes from Homo sapiens, assembly GCF_000001405.40. NCBI lineage: Eukaryota > Metazoa > Chordata > Mammalia > Primates > Hominidae > Homo > Homo sapiens. The sequence goes on from NC_000009.12 coordinate 32,293,070, forward strand.
GGAATTTAACTACAAAATTCTGGTGTAAGTCAAGGAAAGCCATGAAGCTAAAATCAGCAAGCCTCTTAACTATAGAGCAGTAAATGTGGCCAAAAACATTTAAAACATAGAGGAAATCTAAATTGAATAAAAAGGAATTGAAAACACTGCCAAATGCAAAATTAAGCTCTCTTGTTCTCTCATTTTGCAGTTAATTTACCCCCATTACAACATTACAACCCTTTGGTCTACTATTTGCCATGAATTTTACTGCCAGGATTTTAACTGCTTTTTAATATGCCCTCAGTTTTACACACACACACACACACACACACACACACACACAAACACACACACGAGGAGTCTTCAAAAGGTTCATGGCAAATGCAAATTATGGAAAAACTACAAGTGTATTTCAAATTTTTTGCACCAAAATAAACTCATACTAACTTGTTATATATAACATATCTGAACAGGATCTAGTTTGAGGCACTAAGAAGAATAAGACAGTCTACAGCCATACCAGCTTGAATGTGCCCAATCCTTGTCTGGCCTCAGAAGCTAAGCAGGGATGGTCCTGATTAGTACTTTGTAAGAAGGATAAGACATCAGTTTGAAAAGAGCCCCTATCAGAGCAGTATAAATTCTGCTAAAATTGAAGCAAGAACAAACACCAAATTTCTAGTAATGTTTGGGTGAAAGAGTGATGAAATCATTGATGCTGTATGAAAAGCTTATGGTGAAAAGTCCCTCAAAGAAGTTTACAAATGGATAACTCATTTTAAGAGGAGATGAAACAATGTTGACAATGACACTCATAGCAGCAGACCAACCACATAAATCTGGAAGGAAAAGATTAATCTATTTGTGCCCTAACTGAAGAGGACAAATAATTAACAGCACACATAACAGCCAACGCCATAGACAGCTCAACTGGTTCAGCTCACACAATTCTGAAGTTGAGCAAACTTTCCACTCAATGAGTGCCAAAACCATTGTGCCTAGATCAGCTGCAGACAAAAGTAGAGCTGTCAGTGGACATTTTAAACAGGTGGGATCAAGATCCTGTACTATTTTCTCAAAGAATTGTATCAGCAAGTGAAACATGGCTTTACTGATATGATCTTGAAGATGAAATACAAAGCATTGGCTACCAGAAGTGGAAGTGGTTCAGTCAAAGCAAAAGCAGACCAATCAAAAGCAAAGGTCATGTCAACAGTTTCTAGGGATCCTCAAGGCATTTTGCTGTTGACTTTTTCTGCAGGGCCAAAGAAAGATAACATCTGTTTATTATGAAAGTGTTTTGAGAAAGCCAAATCTTTAGCAGAAAAATGCCTGGGAAAGCTTCACCGAGAGTCATTCTCCACCATGCCAATGCTCCCGCTCATCCTTCTCATCAAACAAGGGCAATTTTGCAATTTATAGTCCTGGTTTGGCTCCCTCTGACTTCTTTTTGTTTTCTAATCGTAAACGATGCCAATTTTTCTGCAGTTAATAATGTAAAAAAGACTGCATTGGCACGATTAAATTCCCAGCACTTTCAGTTCTTTTGGGGGATGGACTAAACAGCTGGTATTATCACTAATAAAAGTGTCTTGAATTTGACAGAGCTATGTTCAGAAATAAAGTTTAGGCTTTTATTTTTATCTTTTAATTCTAGTTTTCTATGAACTTTTTGAAGTCTCCTTATACACAACATTAGGGCATAAATTACTCCAAGAACAAAAGAAAAAAATATTTGTACCCTAAGCAATGCGTGCCTGGCACTTTCTGCAAATGCCCCCAATATCCAAAATTATTTGTGTGTGAATAATCCTACCTTGGGCTATTGTTCAAGAAACAAATAGCAAAATCTAGATATTAAAAGATATTTAATGAGAGTCTAAGATGATACATTTTTCTTTAAGTTTCAACACTGAATTAGCAGCACTGAGGAGGCAATATAAAATAGTTAAGGGCCTAAAAGTATGGATTTGAATTTCTACTGAATAATTAAAATCCATGTGACTTCACAAATCACTTAACCTTTTGTAACCCTATACAATGTGTGTTAGGAAAATAATACTTAACCTCTAGAGTTATTGTAAAAGTTAAATGAAAATAGTACCATATTAGTAGTAGTACATATCAGCTGTTGTTTTGATTACTTAACTATTATGCTTAGAGAGAAATTCCTAGTCCTCCTAGATTTCACAGCAAATTCTTGTTGAAATATATAGGGTGTTACAATCACTCAGAGCTTTTTGCCCAAACCCAAAACCTGAAAAATATCATTAAATCCTTGTGTGCAGTTAGTTTCTAATGTTAGACAATTTTCTAAGCCTACCTAGTATTTATTTCTGCCCTTAAATATATAAACCTCAATACAGTTCATGAGAACATATAGATTCATAGCCTGTAGAAATAATTGCTTTTCAAATGTATTAGTCAGAGAGAATTGTTTAAGAATTTTTTTAAAGATCTGTCAAAATCACAAAAACCAGACCATCTCTGAGAGGCAGGGGAACCATCTGCTCAGATCCATATTGGCACTGCTCTCCCTCCAGAACACTGCTCTCCCTCCAGAGTAGCTTGTTCTGAAAGGATGAGGACCTGTCTCAAGTGGCTACAGATCCTGGCTCAGGTGATAACCTTTCTTAGGTAGACTATATTGATAGCTGGAGGAGTGATAGAGTACTCTGTTTTAATTGTAAAGATGATGTCACTCCGCCTGGTTCTTCCTTGAAGCATTCTACAGCGTAGAATTAAGCAGAATGTCTGAGGTCCCAGATGACTAAAATTAGTGAGAAAATGAGGGACCCTTAGGTGTAGCACTGAATTGTTTTTTGAATCAAAGTTTACAGAAGGCCTTGTCAGAAGCTTATGTCTAAGGAAGCATAAGCTTCTTAGCCACAATAAGAAGATGCAAGATTCCAAGGAAATCAAATGGTGAAATTTGTCTGAATAATGTTTTGAGGAATGATCAAAATACAGTATGTATTTGGAGAATAACTAAAATTCTAGGACTGAAGCTCTACTTAATTTCATTCTTCATTCTAATTGTTTTTCCATTTACATTCACAACTTAAAGAGATGGGAAGATCAAAAAGACAGAAAGAGTGAAATTCTGTTTAATTGCAGGATCTTATGTTCACAGGAAGGTTGAAAGCCTGAATCCTTATTAAAAGTTTAATCTGCATCTTCTTTATAGCAACACATTTCCACTTGGGACAGTTTTATATCTATCTTGGCAAGTGAATTTAATCCAGGAAAATGCATTTGCTTACTATTCTCTTGGACAAACAAATTGTTGGTGTGCCTTGACATTCTAGAATAGTAACTCTTATTATTTTCTCTGTTGTTATTCACAAACTTTGACATCTTCCTGTCAGTAGCATTATCCATGCAATTCATCAAAGCTTCAGTTTTAACATAAACTCCTCAAACACACCTCGCTTGAGAAGTGTCCTCACTGGCTTTTTTCTGTTATATCCCTTCAAGTTAACTTCCACCTGACAAATCAAGTTTTTTTTTTCTTTTCTGTAACCATTAATCTTCACTGAAAAGCTGTTCAAATGCCTTCCAACAGCTTCAGGGGCAGAACCTCCTGCTGGCGCTCATAACTCTCATAAATATTATTGGGATTGTGTATGTACATCAGAGAGAGATACTGAACCCCAGAGAACATGAAAGGAAAAACAGCAACTTCATTCTGAGTGAATATAAGTTGTGCAACTGAACACAGGAGACAATGCATGCAGAAAATTAGTTAGCAATTGAAAGGGCAAACAGGTGTTCCACATGGGCTCTGCTTCTAGGAGGAAATAAGAATGTCACACTTTATTGTGTATTATTCTTGCTTATTATTATATCTTATCTCCTCTAGTAAATGATAAACTTCCTGCAAGCAGCATCTTTGTATTATGTATGAAGTATTTGTCAGGCATTCAGAAAATGTTTGTGAATAAATGAATGGATGAGTAGATAAGTGAGTAGATACATGGGTGGATGAAAATACCTTCTGAAATAAAGCCTATATTATTAACATTTCAAAAAAATAGTCTCTAGTAAGAACATACTCCTTAATACCAAAATAAGCAAAATATTCCAAGACTTTTTGGAAAGCACTGTCACATTATTTGTGTGTGTGTGTGTGTGTGTGTGTGTGTGTGTGTGTGTGTATTTATCTCAAAGCCACCCACATAATTTTTGAGGATCACTGTTTTAGAGATTAAAAACATCACCGTATTTTTTAAATCTTGGTGTTAGTTGCCTGGCCATGCACTGGAGCCTTAGAGCATTTTCTAAAGAAATATTTCCTGTGGAAATAAGTGAGGGAAGATTATGACAGGGAAAAAGAAGCATTTCTAACAAATTGGGTCAAAAAGAAAAGAAGATTTAATACCCTCAAAAATTATACTTACATTAATGCTCAGAACATTTATATAGGAGCTAGAGGAGGGGTAAAGCTCTTGTGATTAGGAGAGTATGAATTTAGAGTTGTGAAATTAGCCTTACCACATTTGAGTATTCTAGTGAGAATCATATTCTAACAGAGAGAGTATCAGAGTGTTTCTTCTGCCTTATTATTTCAGTTTTACTTCTGGCAAGGTAGCCAAGTGAGTTTGCTGGTCCGTGATGATTCTCTATGAACTTACATAGCGATAAACAGCTCAGAACACTTCTCAAAGCCCTATGCAAAACCTAGCTTCTTCCCCAGACACTGGAGCTATTTGAAAGGGAATTTAAAACAACTTTGATTGATATGTTAAAGGTTCTAATTGAAAAGTAGAACACATCCAAGATCAGAGGGGTAATTTCATCAGAGAGGTGATAGAAAAAATATAAAACCATAACAGAGACAAATAACATCTTTAACAGCTCATTTGTAGACTCAACACAAATAGACTTGAAGAAAGGTAAGTAAGAGCAATTACCACAAATGAAATCCCGCAAGGAAAAAAAATGAATATAAACTTTCAAAAGAATAGAAAATCCAAGAGCTAGGCAGTAATATTCTGGAGGACAAGAAAGAGAAAAAGGGGCAGAAGAATATATGCAAAGAAATAATGACCAAGAGTTTTCTAAAATTTATAACAGCCATGAAACAGTATATCTAAGAAACTCAGAAAATACCAACCATGATAAATACCAAAACAAAAAAAGATCTAGACATAACATATTCAAACTGCTAAAACAAAGACAATGAGAAATTCTTGAAAGACAATCAAATATAAAAGAAACTTTATATATAGATGAATAAACATAATAATTACAACAAACTTCTTATCAGAAACATCTGAGCCAGAAGACAATACCATTAAAGTGGTGAAAGAAAAATCTCTCAACCCAAAAATCTATACCCAGCAAAAACATTTTTCAAAAATGAAGGAAAAATAAAGACTTTTTAAACAAAAACTGAGGAAACTTGTTTCCAGCAGACCTACTGTACAAGAAATATTAAATTTCTCCTTGTACACTGTTCGTAGAAATATAAATTTGTACAGCCGTTTTGGAAGATTCTATCCTCAATTGATTTGAAATCAATTTGTCAGAGAGATGTCTGCACTCCCATGTTTATTGCAGCGCTAGTCACAATAGCCAAGTTGTGAAATCAACCTAAGTTTCCACCAACAGATGAGTGGATAAAGAAGGTGTGGTGTATACACACAATAGAATACTATACAGCCTTTAAAAAGAAAGGAGTTCTGTCATTTACAAAAACACAAGTGAGCCTGGAGGACACTGTGTTAAGCAAAATAAGCCAGGCACAGAAAGACAAATATTGCATGTTCTCATTTCTATGTGGAATCTAAAACAATGACATTTGCAGAAGTGGAGAGTAGAATAGTGATTGCCAGAGACTGGGAGTTTTAGGGAGTAGGGGAGATGACAGTCAAAGGGTACAAGGTCTCAGTTAGACAGGAGGAATAAGGTTTCTTTAGATCTATTCTACAGTATAGTGAATATAGTTAATAATAGTGTATTATATATTTCTAAGTTGCTAAAAGAGTAAATTTCAAATGTTCTCATCACAGAAAGGATACGTATTTGAGGTAATGGATATGTGAATTAGCTTGACTTAATTACTCCACATGGAATGTATAAATCATAACATCACTGTGTTCCCCATGAATATATACAATTATAGTTTGTCAACTTGTAATAAAATTCTTAAAAGAAATTCAAAAATTCTTCAGGCATAAATAATATATCAGAAAGAAAATTTGATATACAAAAGAAACCAAAATACAGGAAATAAATAGATAAATATAAATTTAAATTAATCAGAATGAAAATTTGATCTACAAAAGAAATCAAAATACAGGAAATAAATAGATAAATATAAATTTAAATTAATCAGAATGAAAATTTGATCTACAAAAGAAATCAAAATACAGGAAATAAATAGATAAATATAAATTAAATTAATATTTTCTTATTTTTAATTGCTTTGTAGCAAAAATAATAGCAATATATTATATGTTTATAGCATATAAAAATAGTAAAAGAAATGACAATAGCACAAAGGATGGGGAAAAAGGAATTGAGAATATACAGTAATAAGGTCTTCATGCTACACATGGAGCAGTATAATATAATTTGAAGATATGTTTCATACATATGTCAAAAGCCCTGGGTTGAACGAAAATAAAATTTTTAATGGTACAAATAATGTCAGTAGAGGAGACAGAATAATTTTTTTTTAATGCTCTAGGTAGAAAAGGGGGCAGGGAAGCAAAGAAACAGATGGAAGAAGTGGAAAATAACCAGCAAAATGGTACATTTTAATTCAACTCTATCAATGATCACATTAAATGTGAATGATTTAAGAAGAGTAGTTTAAAAGACAACAATTTCATATTGGATTTAAAAAGCAAGACCAAAATATATGTTATCTACAAGAAGTTGACTTTAAGTTTAAAGACATATAAGTAAAAATGAAAAGGGTAGAGAAAGATATACCTTGCAAAAATTCTACAAATGAAAGCTGGATAACTATATTACTATCAGACAAAACAAGCTTCAGAAAATGAATAACATTAGGAATAAAGGAGAACACTATATAATGTCAATCCTCCAAGAATACATAACAATTTATGTATGCAGTTAACAACAGAGCTCCAATTATAGAGGCAAAAACTGATGGAACTGAAAGAGAAAATTAACAAATCCACAATTTTAATTGAAAACGTCAACATTCCCTTCAGAATTAAACACTATAAACCAACTAGACCTAAATCACATATAGGACCCTCCATCCAGCAATAGAAAAATACACATTATTTTCCAGTGCACATAAAACATACACCAAGATAGGTCATATTCTGAGCCATAAAACAAACTTCAACACATTTAGAAGAGTAGAAATCATACAAAGCCTTCATATCACGAAATGAGAGTAAAAGTTTGGGCTCCCAACTCAGTCTTTGTTGCCTAAAGTAAGAGGGGATTTGTGGTTTCCCTGGTGCTTAGTTGGAATAAGGCAGTTATTGACAAAAGCTTGCTCTTGCTAAGTTGCCCTTTACCCAGTCCTTCATCTAGGGAAAGCAAACTTTGCAGGAGGAGGGCTTTTGATCTGTGCCCATTAGTATTTCCTGGGGTCAGGCTGCTAAAAGAATATTTAAATAAGATCTACAATCTCATAATACAATGACATGAAAATCTATTGTCATACTAAGAACAAGGAAAATCTCAATTTGAATGAGAAAAGGCAATTAACAGATGCCCATACCAAGACGACACAGATATTAGATTATCTGATGAGAATTTTTTAATGACCATCCTATAATTCCTTCAACAAGCAATTATGAATATGCTTACAAAAAATGCAAACTAGAAAGTTCCAGTGATATAAATAAATAATATAAAGACAAACCAAATGGAAATTTTAGAACTGAAAGATACAATGACCAAAATAGAAAACTCATTGAATGGGCTCAACAGAAGAATAAAGAGGAGAGAGAAAATAGTCAATAAACTTGAAGACAGAGCAATAAATATGAGCCAAACTAAACATATAAAGAAAATAGATGAAAAAATTAACATAACCTCAGGGATCTGTAGAATAATAAAAGATCTAACATTCATTTCATTGGAGTCCTGGATGGGCAAAAGAAAGAATGTGGAACTGGAAAAGTATTAAAGGAAATAGAGCTTACACATCTCCCTAATATGGCAAAAGACATAAACATAAAGATTCATAAAGCAAAATGAATCTCAAACAGCATAAACCCAAATAAATCCATGACAAAACACATTATAATCAAACTTCTGAACACTAGACATAAAGAAAATTTATTGAATGCAGCAGAGGAAAACGATGCATTGCCTTAGAGAAACAATGATTTTGATGACAGTAGATTTTTACTGGAAACCATGGAGGCCAGGAGAAAGTGTCACAACATCTTTTAAGAGCTGGGGGAAGAAACCAAACACCTGTCAATCCAGGATTTCTAGAATATCTTTCAAGAAATCAAGATATTCTCAGATTTAAAAAAACTAAGAAAATTTGTCATCAGCAGTCTTACCTTAAAATAATAAAATTCTTCAAATAGAAAGAAATGATAATAAAAGCAAGCTTAGAACATCAGAAATAAATTTAAAAAGAAGAGAAATAATAAAATATAAATAATATAATATACTTTCCTCCTGAGTTTTCTAAATTACTTTTGATGGTTGAAGAAAATTTATAACATCATCTGATGTGATTTTCAACATATATAGAGGAATTACTTAAGACAATTATGTTAAAAAGAGGAAGGGCAAAGACACCTAAATGAAGGTACTCTTCACTTTAACTACTAAAATGTTGACACCAGTAGATGCACACAAAAGCACTATACCTAAATCAAATTGAAATTCTAAAATATGTTGAAGTAACCCACAAGAAAGAAAATGAAAACAGATAAATGAAAAAAGGGAGAACAAACAAAATAAATAATTAAATGTCAGGCTTAGACATAAATATGTCAAAAACTACATTAAATATAAAAGGTCTAAATATACCAGCTAAAATACAAGAATTGGCAAAATGGATAAGAATGACACAATTCTATGCTCTGGTATGGTTTGAATGTTTCTGCCTCCTCCAAAATTCATGTTAAAACTTAATCCTCATTGTGGTGCTATTAAGAGTTGAGGCTTTTTGAGATGTGATTAAGTCATAAGAGAACCACTTCCATCAATATATTAGTACCTTATGAAACGTCTGAAGAAAATGGCTTAGTCCTTGTTTGCCCTTCTGCTGTTCCACCATGTGAGGACACAGCACTCAAAGAGCTATCTTGGAAGCAGAAACCAGGCCTTTGCTTGATACTGAAACTTCTGGCACCTTGATCTTTGACTTCCCAGTCTCTAGAACTGTGAGAAATTTCTGTTGTTCAGTTTCAATTACCCAGTTTTTAATAAAAAGATTAACAAAGAACAAAAAAGGCAATTCAACAGGTCAAAAAAGGTATGATAACCTCAATTTTCAGGTATTTTGTTATAACATCACAAACAGACCAAGACACTGTCTTTTTAAAAGCCCATGAAAATTATAACAAATTAAACATTAAGTGATGGAAAAAATATACCAAGAATTAGTCAAAATAAAGCAAGAATTGTGATATTAATATCAGATAAGGTAGACTGTAGAAGAAAGAAAATTACCAGAGATAAAGAGAGACAATATATAATGATAAAAGAGTCAATCCACCAAAAAGGCATAGCAATTCTAAGTTTTTGTATGCACCAAAAAGCATAACTGTAAAATAAGTGAAGCAAGAACTGATAAAACTGAAAGGAGAAGCAAGCAAGTCCACAATTATAGCTGGAGATTGAACACCCTTCTCTCAACAAATGATTGAACTATTAAACAGACATAGAACTTAACTACAATGTCAACTAACAGATCTAACTGACATTTATAGAACACTCAACACGCCAACAACAGGATATTTTTCTCAAATAAACAGGGATAGAAACGTGCACTGAAGCTTCTGCAACATCCACTACACTTTCCTCATTTGACATTTTTCAAAGTACACTTGCTAGTTGTAACCAGTGAAACAATACAATACAATGATATAAAAAGATAAATCAAATCATGTCAGCCCTACTCTTTTTCCAGTTCCAACCACATTTCCAATTTCATGTCCACAGTAACAATGTGGACATTGTTACTGTGGACATGAAAGATCAAAAAAGAATGAATGGCCTTGGTAACTTCTGTAGAAGCAAAGAGAGAAGGAAGGAATCAGTATACTGACATGGATGAAGATTTAATCAAGAGTACAGACTTTAGCATCCTAAACATCTAAATCCGACTCCTGAGATTTACTGGCTACCTCCAAGTAAACTCAACTACAACAATTACAAAAGGTTAGATTCTATAAGTGTCCTTTCTTTCATCTGTATAATGGGATAAGAATAGCAGCTGCCTTACAGACATTCTTCTTCTTTTTCTCAGAGCCTACACACTCTCTTACATCTTCTCTCTGAATTTCTATTCCTTTATTCCCTCTGCATTCTAGAAAAAAGAAAATGGGAAGAACGTTCTTACTACACAAATTTCAATAAGAAAAAAAGAATATGACAATAAAAAATTGACAAAGAACAAAAGAGGCAATTCAGCAGGTCAAAAAAGGTATGAAAACCTCAATTTTATTCAAATAACTAAAACGAAAACACAAATCAACAGAAACTATTCACCCTTATTAGTGCCCAAAGAAATGAAAACTTAAACTATGATTTATATTTTTACCTATAAAATAGGCAAAATAAAATGAAACTAGTATTGGGAATGTAGCATAATTTGCATTTTCTTATACTATTGATAGTGTAAGTTGGTACAAACTTTCTACAAGGAATTAGGCAATATCTATTACACACCTTTAAAGTGGTCATTCATAAGAACAATAAGCACTGGAACTCGAAAGAGGGGAGGGAGGGAGCGGACCAAGGGTTGAAAAACTACCTATTGGGTACTGTGTTCACTATTTGGGTGAAAGGGTCAATAGAAGTTCAAACCTCAGCATCATGCAATACACCCTAGTAACAAACCTGCACATGTACCCACTAAATCTAAAATTAAAAAGAAAAACATAGTAATCCATGTCTTGATATTTATATGCCATTTCTACTTATTTTAGAAAGTTATTATGCTGCAGAAAAAATCAGAAATTCACACAAAGATTTATATAGAAAATATTTATCAAGTTTTAGCTATAATAGTGAGAAACTAGAAACATAAAGTTACAACAAAGGGAATGACAGTGAAATTAATTGTGATATGTGATATATAATACCAGCCAGTCAAATCATGTTTTCTAAAATTATTTAATTATATGAGTAAATGCACACAATACAATGGTAAGAAAAAACAGTAGACAAATCATACATATGATATATATGTTAAAAATACCCACATAAGAAAAAGGACTGGAAGAAAAAAATCAAAATTTGAAGAATAAGTGAGGTTATGTATGATTTTTCTTTCCTTATGTTTTTATGTGTCTTCCAGTTTTCTTATTCTGAAAAATACTAATCTGTTCATCTCCCAGTATTTTCTACTAGACTGTGGGCTCCTTGCGGAGGGGCTACATTTTCTTCACAGTGGTGCCCTCAGAAAGAGCACATTGCTGATACAAAATAAGAGCTCCCAAATGTTAAATCAATAAAGTACTTTGACCTTTGAACAACAGGGTTTTAACTGCATGGGTCTGCTTATATGCAGATATTTTTCAAACAAACAGGGAAGGGAAAATACAGAATTTGCATGATGCAAAACTCATGCATACAAAGGACTGACTTTTCCTATACATGGATTCCACAGGATCAACTGCAGGACTTGAGTATGTGTGGATTTTGATATACATGGGGGTCCTGGAACCAATCCCCTGCATATATCAAGAAATGACTGCAATTGCTCTTGTAAAAAGAAAATTGCAACAAATTTTATTTTTAAATTGGATATAATATATTCAGAGAATAATTATTTTTATGGATATAGCATTACAATCAATAATTGAGCATTCCTCAGTTATTTCTGGAATTTCATGTTTTAATTCAAAAATCATAAAAGTAGAAGACACTATTAGCATCACACTATAATAACTTCAAGGAGGTTATGTTTTTAAAAATATTCTTATTTTATATATTATCCCCCATTCCAAAAAAGCACTTTAGATGGCCTAAATAAAAACATATAATAATAGTAGTTTATATTTATTGATTGCCTACGAAATGTCAGGTTTCCTTGTGTTCTTTAAATGTATTTTTATTAAAAATAATAATAATAAATGTATTTTTATTTAATCTTCATAAGGACCCTAATATCCCAATTTCATAAATGAAGGCATGAAAATGTCATGTCTTCTGCCAGCTTCCAGAACGCAGTAACAAGCTAACCTGTTAGTTCACAAGTAAAATCTCAGAGCCTTCACAATTCATGATAGACTCTTCATTTTCTTATTTACATAGAAAAATGTATTAATATCTGCTCTATCTTCCTTACCAAACTATTGGAACACTCAACAGTATTCATGCAGAAACACTGTCAATTTTTAATAAGATGAGATACTATTATAACACAAGTGACTGCAGACCATAAGGAGAGCCCTGTGTCATTGCAATAAGATTCTCAAAATATAACAGCACTTGATTGTTAATTACAAGTCAGCAAGTGTCTAAATTTTTTAGACTCTATCTTAAAAGCATTCCATGTGGTTTGGGCATCAGGAGATACCAGACACAGACACAGAGAATAATGGCATATGAGTGATACACTCCTTTGCATGCATAAAAATGAACTTTCTGGTATCTCATAAAGTGAAACAAAGACAAAAATCTCCAAAACATCAACTGTTCTCTGCTGAGATTAGATCATTCCTTTTAATTGTAGTTTTTGATGTAATTTCTTACATATTCATTTTCCACTTACTCAAACGAGCTTTATACTGTGGAGAGTCTACACTGTTTTTCATAAGTAGTTGGTCTTTTTCTTCTTGACTAAAGATCATGAAGATTCACCAAAAAAAGCCAGATTTATCCTCTTCTCCTACCTCACATGCATCAAAGCCAAAGAAAAAAAAACATCTGCTGTGAGGTTTACTGCCAACTACAAAGAACCAATGGAAAACCAGGACCTTTGAGTGATGAGAATGCTAGTTATAATTTGAGTCTATCAAGTGATTACTGGATATGCAATGGCCCATATGCTGAAATCTTCAAATAGCCAGATGGGTTCTGCCCAAATTCAGAGAGCCATTGAGGGTCATTCAAAATCCCTATAACTAGTACCCTTGACATTTACCAAACCTGGCCCACATGAAAAGTGATTAAGTGAAAACTCATTAAAACAGCTTTAATATTTCATAAGGATCCTTTTAATTTAGGGGTAAGGTTTTTTATTTTGACAGTGAACCAAAATCATCAGAAACCCATATGCATGTGAGCATGATGAATGTTTTACTAATTAACAAATGGGCCCAAACTGAGATCCAAACACATCTATCTGCAAATGTCTGGTAAAACAGTGGGAGGCCAAGGGAAGTAATTTGCATAAATCAATTTGCAAGTGAGTGTTTTTTGTTGTTGTTGTTCTTGACTGATTAAGAAAGGAGGAGTTTTGTGTGGCACCTAAAAAACATCTGAGAAATGGACAGAGAATATAGTGCATGACCTTCCCCTTTGCCCCTGGACTCATGAGCACAGGGAGAAGCTGCCTGTGAGGCTCTGAAACCATCCCTATAAACTTTATAAAATTAATCAGAGAATAAGGGAGGGGGAGAAACAAAAATAAACCAAGCTTCTAGCACATTCAGCATTAATCATTAGATCAGCTTGCTCTCTGACCTGCTTCCTCATAGTTGTTTAGTGCCTATTGTTCTAGAATCACATGGAACCTAAGTAATAATTCCCTTTAACTGCTCTGTGGATAACAACTCGAACATTATAAAACATTGTTTTCCCTTTGAGATATTCTTTCAGGTTCTACATACCAGTGAAACTACTGACATCAGCTGATCTGAAGAACCCCACAAGGAACTGACTCACCAGAGAATGCAGGTTTTTTTTTTTGTTTTCTTTTGTTTTTGTTTTTTTGTTTATCTTGAGACGGAGTCTCGCTCTGTCGCCCAGGCTGGAGTGCAGTGGCACGATCTCGGCTCACTGCAAGCTCCGCCTCCCAGGTTCATGCCATTCTCCTGCCTCAGCCTCCAGGCGCCCGCCACCATGCCCAGCTAATTTTTTTGTATTTTTAGTAGAGACAGGGTTTCACCATATTAGCCAGGATGGTCTCGATCTCCTGACCTCGTGATCCGCCCACCTCGGCCTCCCAAAGTGCTGGGATTACAGGCGTGAGCCACACTGCCCAGCCCAGAGAATGCAGTTTGCACATCTGATGATTTCATCCCTCTTGCTCTGACCTATCAACAATTCCAATTTTCCAGCCCCTTGCCCTCCACAATCCCCTTAAAAATCTCAGGCCAAGACTCTCTGGGAAGATGGATTTGAGGGCCTTCTCACATCTCCTCACTTGGTGACCTGTGATCAGTAAATTCTTCTTCTGCTGCAAACCTTGCTGTCTCACTGCATTGGTCTATTATTGTGCAGAGGACAAACAAATCTGTTCATCCTATAAAAGCTCTTGGAAATATCAGAGCATATATACTATAGCTTTGATCCTGAACAACAAAATGGAACTTCAAAATATACAGTCTCCCTGGCAATCAGAAATTGTATACAAGACCAATAACAGGTTCTGAAATTGAGGCAATAATTAATAGCCTACCAACCAAAAAAAGTCCAGGACCAGATGGCTTCACAGCCAAATTCTACCAGAGGTACAAAGAGGAGCTGGTACCATTCCTTCTGAAACTATTCCAATCAACAGAAAAAGAGAGAATCCTCCCTAACTCATTTTATGAGGCCAGCATCATCCTGATACCAAAGCCTGGCAGAGACACAACAAAAAAAGAGAATTTTAGACCAATATCCCTGATGAACGTCGATGCAAAAATCCTCAGTAAAATTCTGGCAAACCGAATCCAGCAGCACATCAAAAAGCTTATCCACCATGATCAAGTGGGCTTCATCCCTGGGATGCAAGGCTGGTTCAACATTGATTATCTCAATAGATGCAGAAGAGGCCTTTGACAAAATTCAACAGCCCTTCATGCTAAAAACTCTCAATAAATTAGGTATTGATGGGACATATCTCAAAATAATAAGAGCTATTTATGACAAACCCACAGCCAATATCATACTGAATGGGCAAAAACTGGAAGCATTCCCTTTGAAAACTGGCACAAGACAGGGATGCCCTCTCTCACCACTCCTATTCAACATAGTGTTGGAAGTTCTGGCCAGGGCAGTCAGTCAGGAGAAAGAAATAAAGGGTATGCAATTGGGAAATGAGGAAGTCAAACTGTACCATGCTGTTTTGGTAACTATAGCTTTGTAGTATACTTTGAAGTCAAGTAATGTGATGCCTCCATATGTGTTCTTTTTGCTTAGTATTGCTTTGCCTATGTGGGCTCTTTTTTGTTCCACATAAATTTCAGAATTTTTTTTCTAATTCTGTGAAAAATGATGATGCTATTTTAATGGGAATTGCACTGAATTTGTAGATTGCTTTTGGCAGTATGGTCATATTCACAATATTGATTCTACTCATCCATGAGCATGAAATGTGTTTTCATTTGTTTGTGTCATCTAGGATTTCTTTCAGCAGTGTTTTGTAGTCTTCCTTGTGGAGATCTTTCGCCTCCTAAGAGACTCTCTCTCAGCACAGAGAGAGACTCCTTGGTTAAGTATATTCCTATGTATTTTGTTTTGTTTTGTTTTGTTTTGCAGCTGCTGTGAAAGGATTGAGTTCTTAATTTGATTCTCAGCTTGGTCATTGTTGGTGTATAGCAGTGCTACTGATTTGTGTACATTGATTTTGATTCCAGAAACTTTACTGAATTTATCAGATCTAGGGGCTTTTTTGATGAGTCTTTAGGTTTTTCTAGGTATGAAATCATATTATCAGAAAACAGTGACAGTTTGACTTCCTGTTTTCCAATTTGGATGTCCTTTCTTTCTTTTGTCTGATTGATCTGGCTAGGACTTCCAGTACTATGTTGAATAGAAGTGGTGAAAGTGGGCATCCTTGTCTTGCTCCAGTTCTCAGGGGAAATGCTTTCAACTTTTCTTCATTCAGTTTGATGTTGGCTGTGGGTTTGTCATAGATGGCTTTTATTACTGGTAAAAGACTTTTAACAACAAATTCCAGAGAGAGGAAGAAAATAACTGGTCACATTGAGGCAGATACTGCTTTGTTCTCCATTGGAGTTTTCCATATAATGTATATATATTGGGCAATAATCCCTCTGCATCCCAATGTGCTCATCTACATTTATGGGGTAATTAACCTACCTCAAAGGTAGTTGCCAGATTCACCTCAGTTACATTATCAAATTCCTTCAGATGCTGTAGAATTCTTTTTATCTGACATAATTGGGACCAAAGTTCATGGACTCACAAAAAGAGCCAGATATATAGATAAATCATAAGAATTCACCATATACCAAATACAGAAAACCAAATACCATATCTTCTTAGTAAGTGGGAGCTAAGCTGTGAGGAAGCACAGATATACAGAATGATATAATGGACTTTGGGGACTCAGGGAGGGTGGGAGAGGGGAGAAAGATAAAAAAGACTACATATTGGGTACAGTGTACACTGCTTGGCTGACAGGTGCACTAAACTCTCAGAATTCACCATTATAGAGTTCATTAATGTAACCAAAACCACTTGTACCCCAAAAGCTATTGAAACTTTTTAAGTATTTCACTATAAACAAATGCAAGGTAAAACTTGGAGAGTAAAATAATCCAAACTAGACTTATAGGATTCTGGGCTAATAATGATACTCAAGAGATATTAAGATTCTGCCAAAAATAAAATTTAATATATTTCTGTCATTAAAAAGTCCAATAGAATGCTGACTGTAACATTAAAAAGGACATTGGAAACAAAAAATAAAATCCAACTGTAGCCAAAAAAAATGGTGAAAGAGTTAAACAGACATTTCACAAAAGAAGTTATAGGAATGGCCACTGAGCATATGAAAAGATGTTCAACAGCATTAGTCATCAGGAAAATGCAGATTAAAATCACAAGGAGATACCACTACCTACCCATTAAAATGACTAAAATTAAAAAGACTGACAATACCAAATGTTGGTGAGGATTAGTTGTGGAATTATACAGCATTTGAAATAATATATCTTGTTACCTTTTCTTGAAAGTGTCATCAATGACTCAGCTGACTATGATTTATTCAAGTATCTGATGGATTTTCCAAGAGAGTTTTTTTATATATTTTGATTAAAATTATTCTTAAAATATAAATTTAAGAAAAATATATCAGGCTACCATGAGACTTATTTCCCAAAACAGTATGTCAGAAGACAAAGACGCAACAACAAGAAAGTTTCAAGGAAAGAATATTGGAACCCAGAGTTACTGTTCATATGGAAGGGGAGAAATATAAAGCATTATAGAAATGCTAGTGAAGCAAAGCAAAATGGCTGAAGAGAAGGCCCCACCAACTGACCCCCACCACCCAACAGTAACACCAAATTTCACAACTATCTATACAGAAAAGAACCAAAAACCAGGTACCAGCTTGACACAGTGGAGTAAAGCCTCAAGCAGGCTCTTAGAGTCTCTGATTCCAGGCTTTGGCTCTTTCATGGCCTTTCTGGACCTGCCCTGGGCCAGAGGGGAGTCCACTGCCTAAAGAGTGAGTCCCAGGCCAGGCCGTATATGTCATAAGCTGACTAAAGAGCCCTTGGGCCTTAAGTGAACACAGGTGGTAGCCTGGTAGTACTCCCCATGGCCCCGTGGTGGTGGTGGCCACAGGGTGAGGTTTCTCTCCCTGTGGAAAAGGGAGGAAAAAGCAGGAAGGACTGTGTCTGGTGGTTTGAGTGCCAGTTCAGCTACCATATAATAGCACACCAGGTAGATTTCTAAGGTTTTTAACTCCAGTCCCTGGCTCCCAGATGACATCTCTGGACCTGCCCAGGACCTGGAAGAACTCACCACTCTGGAGGGAAGGACAGAAGCCTGGCTGGCTTCACTACCTGATGATTGTAGAGTCCTAGGTCCTGAGTGAATAGGCAATAGTTAGGTAGTAGTTATAGCAGGCCTTGGGTGAGACCCAGTGCTATGCTTGCTTCAGGTCTAACCCAGCACAGTCCCACTGGTGGTGACCACAGGGGTGCTTGTGTCACCCAACCTCCAGCTACAGGCAACTCAGCACAAAGAGTGAGACTCTTTTTGTTTAGGAGAAAGTAACAGAAGAGAACAAGAGTCTCTGTCTGGTAATCCGGATAATTCTTCTGGATCTTATCCAAGACCACCAAGGTGGAACCTCTACAAGTCCACAAGACCTGGCTGGGGTGTCCCCTAAAGCAGATACAGCTTAGATCACAACACCCAAGTCCTTTCAATACATGGAAAACCTTTCCAAGAAGGATGGGTACAAACAAGCCCAACTGTGAAGACTACAATAAATACCTAACTCTTTAATGCCCAGACACCAACAAACATCCACAAGCATCAAGACCATCTAGGAAAATATGACCTCACCAAATGAACTAAATAAGGCACCAGGGACCAACCCCGGAGAAACACAGATATGTGACCCTTCAGACAAAGAATTCAAAATAGCTGTGTGGCAGAAACTCAAAGAAATTCAAGATAACACAGAGACGGAATTCAGAATTCTATCAGATAAACGTAAGAAAAGATTTAAATAATTAAAAAGAATCAAACAGAAATGCTGGAGTTGAAAAATGCAACTGACATACTGAAGAATGCATCACAGTCTCTTAATAGCAGAATTGATCAAGCAAAAGAAAAAGACTTAAAGAGCTTGAAGATAGACTATTTGAAAATACAGTCAGAAGAGACAAAAGACAAAAGTATAAAAACAATAAAGCACACCAACAAGATCTAGAAAATAACTTCAAAAGGGCATACCTAAGAGAGTTATTGGCATTAAAGAGGAGGTAGAGAAATGGGGTAGAAAGTTTATTCAAAGGGATAATAACAGAGAACTTCCCAAATCTAGAGAAAGATATCAATGTCCAAATATAAGGTGGTTATAGAATAGATTTAATATGGATGAAGAAAGGATCCTAAAAGCAGCAAGAGAAAACAAAGAAATAACATGCAATGCAGCTCCAATACATTCAGCAGCAGACTTTTCAGTGGAAACTTAACAGGCCAGGAGAGAGTGTCATGACATATTTAAAGGGCTGAAAGAAAAAAAACTTTTACCCTAGAATAGTATACCCAGTGAAAATATCCTTCTAACATGTAGGAGAAATAAAGACTTTCCCAGACAAACAAAAGCTGAGGAATTTCATCAGCACCAGACCTGTTCTTGCCACCACACTCCAGCCTGTGTGACAAAGTGAGACTCTGTCTCAAAAAAAAAAAAAAAAAAAAAAAAAAAAAAAAACCAGGAATACAAGGAGGTTGCTACACAAACAAATCAATCAATGTGATACATCATCTCAACAGAATGAATGACAAAAACCATATGGTCATTTCAAATAATGCTTTAAAAAGTATTTGATAAAGGGCCAGTCACGGTGGCTCAGGCCTGTAATCCCAGCACTTTGGGAGGCCAAGGTAGGTGGATCACGAGGTCAGGAGATCGAGACCATCCTGACTAACATGGTGAAACCCCACCTCTACTAAAAATACAAAAAATTAGCCAGGTGTGGTGGCAGGCACCTGTAGTCCCAGCTACTCAGGAGGCTGAGGCAGGAGAATGGTGTGAACCCAGGAGGCGGAGGTTACAGTGAGCCAAGATCACACCACTGCACTCCAGCCTGGGCAACAAAGCAAGACTTCGACAAAAAAAAAAAGTAATAAAATTCAACATCCCTTCATCATAAAAACCCTCAAAAAACTGGGTCTAGAAGGAGCATACTTCAACATAATAAAAACCATATGTACAAAAAACCCAAAAGCTAGCAACAGCTAGTATACTGAATAGGGAAAAACTGTAAGATTTTTCTCTAAGATCTGGAAGACTACAAGGGTGCCCACTTTCACCACTATTATTAAACACAGTACTGGAAGTTCTAACTGAACAATCACACAGGAGAAAGAAATAAAGGGCATCCAAATTGGAAAGGAAGGAATCAAAGTATCCATGTTTGCAGATGATATAATCTTATATTTGAAAAAAAACTAAAGACTCCACCACGTAAATGATAAACAAATTCAGTAAAATTGCAGGATACAAAATCAACATACAAAAATCAGTAGCATTTCTATACACCAAAAGTGAACAGTCTGAAAAAGAAATCAGAAAAGTAATCCCATTTACAATAGCCACAAATAAAATTAAATTCCTAGGAATTAACCAAAGAAGTAAAAGTTCTCTGCAATGAAAACTATGAAACATTGATGCAAGAAATTGAAGAGGGCACAAAAAAAATTGAAAAGATATTCCATGTTCATGGATCAGAAGAATCAATATTGTTAAAATGTCTATACTACCCAAAGCAATCCACAGATTCAATGCGATCCCTATAAAAATACCAATGACATTTTTTATAGAAATAGAAAAAAACAATCCTGAAATTTATATGGAACCACAAAAGACCCAGAGGAGCCAAAGCTATACTAAGTAAAAAGAACAAAACTGGAGGAATCATATTATCTGACTTCAAATTATACTACGGAATAATAGTAACCAAAACAGAATGGTACTAGCATAAAAACAGACACATACACCAAGCGGACAGAATAGAGAACCCAGAAATAAATTCATTCACCTACAGTAAACTCATTTTTTACAAAGGCGCCAAGAACATGCACTGAGGAAAGGACAGTCTCTTCAATAAATGGTGCTGGGAAAACTAAATATCCATATGCAGAAGAATAAAACTAGATTATATCTCTCTCCATATACAAAAAATCCAATCAAAATGGATTAAAGACTTAAGTCTAAGACCTCAAACTACAAAACTACTATAAGAAAACATTGGGGAAACTCTCTGGGACACAGAGCTGGGCAAAGATTTCTTGCGTAATATCCCACAAGCATAGACAACCAAAGCCAGAATGGACGATGGGATCACATCAAATTAAAAAGCTTCTGCACAGCAAGGGAATCAACAAAGTAAAGAGAATGGGAGAAAATATTTTCAAAATACCCATCTGACAAGAGATTAATAACCAGAATATATAAGGAGCTCAAACAACTCTATAGGAAATAATTTAATAATCCAATCGAAAGATGGGCAAAATATCTGGATAGACATTTCTCAAAAGAAGACAGACAAATGGCAAACAGGTATATTTAAAGGTGCTCAACATCATGGATCATCAGAGAAATGTAAATCGAAACTACAATGAGATATCATCTCATCTCAGTTGAAATGACTTATGTTCAAAGGCAGGCAATAACAAATGCTAGTGAGGATGTGGAGAAAAGGGGACTCTAGTACACTGTTGGTGGGAATGTAAATTAGTACAACCACTATGGGAAACATTTAGAAGTTCCTCAAAAAAACTAAAAATAGAGCTACTGTATGATCCAGCAATCCTACTCTTAGATATATACCCAAAAGAAAAGAAATCAGTATATTGAATAGTTATCTGCACTCCCATGTTTATTGCAGCACAATTCACAATAGCCAAGATTTGTAACCAACCTAAGTGCCCATCAACAGACAATGGATAAATAAAATGTGGTACATATACAAAATGGAGTACTATTCACCACAAAAAAAGAATGAGATCCTGTCATTTGCAGCAACATAGATGGAACTAGAGGTCATTGTGTTAAGTGAAAAAAGCCAGGCAGACAAAGACAAACTTCACATGTTCTCACTTATTTGTGGGAGCTAAAAATTAAAACAATTGAACTCATGGAGATAGATGGTAGAAGGATGGTTACCAGAGACTGGGAAGGGTGGTGGGGGTTTAGTGGGGGAAGTGGGGATGGTTAGTTGGTAAAATAAATAAATATATAATAGTCACAAAGAATGATTAAGACCCAGTATTTGCTAGTACAACAGGATGACTAAAGTCAAGAATAATTTAATCATACATTTTAAAATAACTAAAAGAATCCCGGCTAAAACGGTGAAACCCCGTCTCTACTAAAAATACAAAAAATTAGCCGGGCGTAGTGGCGGGCGCCTGTAGTCCCAGCTACTCGGGAGGCTGAGGCAGGAGAATGGCGTGAACCCGGGAGGCGGAGCTTGCAGTGAGCCGAGATCCCGCCACTGCACTCCAGCCTGGGCGACAGAGCGAGACTCCGTCTCAAAAAAAAAAAAAAAAAAAAAAAAAAAAGAATATAATTAGATTGTTTGTAACACAAAGGATAAATGCTTGATGTGATGGATACCCCATTTACTATAATGTGATTATTACACATTGCATGCCTGTATCAAAATATCTCATGTAACCCATAAATACATACACCTACTATGTACCCCCAAAAAAACTAAAATTTAAAATTGTTTAAAAAGAAATGCTAGTGAGCCATGTAGCAAGAATGAGAAGGTGGGTGGAGGAGTAAGAGACAGAGAGAAGGAGAGAAGAAAAAAAGGAAGGGTTGGGGGAAGAAGGGAAGAAGGAAATATTGCTTTGAATGTGTTTAATAAAAAGGCTGCATATCAAAAATAATCCTTGAAAAAAGCAACATGACATAAAATATGAAGTAATAGTAATCTGGACCTAAAGTGCTATATTATGTTTTAGTATCCTAAAATGTAATTAATAAGGTGAGAGATAGAAAGTAAAAGCATACTAGGTTTCTCAGCTTTTACCTTTTGCCATAAGTGAAATGTTTTAAATTTCCAAAAATTAAGGACTTTCACACAACTAAATGTTATATAGTGATTAAAAATATGTACTTCTGGTTAAACATACAGCATAGTAAACCCATTTTCCCTCAGTTCACATTGATTGGACTTAGTTCCCATGCCCACCCTAGTCCTAACATTTGCAAAGACCACTTTTAAGTCATCCTGGGTTAGGAGTGAGGCCGATCTTTCTTAAGACCAAGATGGCTTTACTAGCCACAAATCATGTTTCTGTTTTCAGGATGATAGGCTGGGAGGATTAGCTCTTGGGAAACCAGTAAACTTCCTTCCACCAAAGACCTCCCACCAAAGACAATGAGAAACACACCTACAGTTGGACCAATTGAGTTTGGTGCTCATGGCAGTCAGGGAGAATGCACATCATGGGGAATCATCTCAGTAAGAAAGTATAAGAAAAGATTAATTATAGGATTTGGGCATGGGTTAGGTGACTTTGGGGGCGTTAAAGAGAGTTGGACTTTGCTATGAATTGGATACTGTCAGGAAACAGAGACAATTCTAGACTGGGTATCTCTATTAGTTCATTTTCACCCTGTCAATAAAGACATACCTGAGGCTGGGCAATTTACAAAAGAGCAAGGTTTATTGGACTTACAGTTCCATGTGGCTGGGAAGGCCTCACAATCACAGCAGAAGGTGAAAGGCACATCTCACATGGCAGCAGACAAGAGAAGAGAACTTGTGCAGGGAAACTCCCATTTTTAAAACCTTCAGATCTCATGAGACTTATTTATTATCACGAGAACAGCACAGGAAAGACCCGCCCTCATGACTCAATTATCTCCCACTGGGTCCCTCCCATAACACGTGGGAATTCTGGGAGCTACAAGATGAGATTTGGGTGAGGATACAGAGCCAAACCATATCAGTATCCTAATGAATCTTCTCTATAAGTCAAGAGGAACACATAGAGGCTAAAGCTTTGATAGTCACTCATGTTAGCCAAGAGAGGAGGATGTCTGGTATTTGGGTCATTTGGTTTTGCCTGTGCTTAGACAAAATTTTGAAGTTGTCTTGTCTCACTTGTTTTTTCTCTCACTCCATTATAGTCAGAGTGCCTTGGTCTGTTGTTGATGTTCTATGAGATCATTTGTGTCCAACAGGCAAACACTATGAACTAGATGTAAATATCAGGCCAGTTTCCTTACGTCAGGAGCTGTTTTTCTCTTTTTCAGTGGTTTTATTCAGATGATGGAGTTGAGGTGAGAACAAGTCCTAATGCTGTTAGTTGTACTTAATATTTTTGATACTTCATACACCTAATAAGAGGCACAAACTTGGAAATATTTTCCTCATAACTAATTTTAAAGAAAAAATGTGTTTCTATCTAAACTAATGAAACAGTTAATTTTCTGTATGCAAGAAATGGTGACCTTTCTCTCACTCTCTCTTCCCCTGGAGAACCTCTAGGGTGTTTCTGTTTACAATAAATACGTAGGGCTTTATTTATTTACTTGGTCTTCTCTAACACTCACAAACATTGATTTATAGCAGTGACCTTATTTAAACAGCAAAACCAAAAAATAATAATAATAATAAGCTTCTCCAAATGAGCATTTCTAAGCCAAGTTTCTTGCCAGAGGGAATTTTTTCCCTTTCAGTTATAATTCTCTCCAAACAAGGTACTGTGGGGGGAAGTCTAAGAAACAGTGTGACCCAGCTCACTGTGGCTTTATTCCAAGCTTCAGTTCCAACCGGGGCTGAGCCACACGATGCAGAGATCAAGAAAAACAAAGGTTCCAGTTCCACTGGAGATGGTAGCTTCTGGGTCTCAGTGATCAACAAAGAGAACAGAGTGCTTTGTGGAAACAGAAATTGAGGCTTTTGCCATCCCCAGCTTACTTTCCAAGTGCTGCTGTTCTGCACTTGCTCGCCATTTTAACCACCTTTTTTTTAATGTTACAACAGTAAGATATAAAGTGTATTTACAAAGCAATCTGTTTATTTAAAAATACATGATATACACCAAATTGCTGAGAGGACATTATTGGTCAATTGAAATGGATACTTTTTATCTTTTTCTATATCTCTATAATCAGCATATGTTACTTCCACAATAAGAGAAAAACAAACACTAAATAGGTCATAATAGAGTTAAGAAAGCAGACTGCATCATACCACCAAATTGAAAACCTAATCTGTCCTTATCTTCTTAAATAAACTCCCTTTTTCACTCTCTCAGCTCAAGGAATCCAAAACAAGAAGAATAAACCGGCAATAATTAAGTCAATTGGGCAAATAAGCCAAAAAAGTCACTTATTTGGAAATTATCTCATATAATTTCATGAATGAGTTGGATACAGAAGACAGCGAAAGACTCAAGTCAGACTACTGTGCCTCCAGGAAAGGGGGCAAAGCTGTGCCATCCCTTCCAAAAGCAGGGAGACAGACAAAGGCAAAGCCTGCAGGTCTGTGAACATGCCCATGTAGTATGAGCGCTGAATGGGCTGGAGAATCCATTCTGCAGTTTTCCATTCCTCTCCCATAACCCACTGCCTAGATCATCGCAGGCCTCTTCTCCGATTCATGGTCAGTTAGTCAGAGCAGCCCTTCCTTCTGGTATCTAAAACATGATTCCATGACAGAGTTTCCAGGAAAAATTTCACAAGTGGCCAGCTCCTGCCTTGTTTCTCTGATTTTGCTTTCCACAGGCCCTTCCAGGTGGACTATCTGATGACATTTACAGCCCCAGGCCCAAGGTAGCAGGGGCAGGAAGTACAGCAGCAGCCTCAGATTTCAAGAAGGTGGTACCTGGACCTGATCCTATTGCTTATGGACTTGGGATCTGCCCTGGGCCCACTGGTAGACCCCTTGGCACAGCTCCCCTTTCTTCCCTTGCTCCACCCCCTGCCCTGAAGGATTGATCCAGACTCTCGGACATGACTTCTGCCTTGGTTTTCCTGCATTACACTCCCGTATCCCCTAGTAATTCCCTAAGCCCAAGGATGCCTAATTAGGGCACAAAGATTATGCTAGTCTCCTCTTGTGGGAGACTAACTCCTCTTTCCTCTCCCTGCCCCTAGCTGGAGACTCAGTTTAAATTGAACTCTCTTTACCCTTTCCAAAGTCAAGCCTTTCACACTGATTTTGACCTGAACTAGAGGTCTCCAACCCTCTATTCTTCTGAATATTCTGCACGGATTGGGAAACTAAAAATCAGACCCACAGCCTCCACACTACAAACCAATGATATGATGCAATTATGTTGCCATTAAAGGAGGGTACAGAGTACATGAAATAAAAAGGAAAGTGGTTTGCTGTGACTGATTTCTACTCAATGTTGGTCCTGTTGATGGTCCTGCATAAATAGGGGGCACATACACAGGAAATAAGATGCCTGCCTGGAAAATACTCACATGTCAATTGTATGAAAAATCAGCTGCCCGTAACAGTCACATTATAAGTATCATTATATATGTTAAAGTTCAAAATATGTGGACCCTTCTATTTCGGAGATGCTCACATCCTCTGCTGCATGGTAAATCACTGTTCCATGGAACTTGCAATTCCTCTCCCTTTTCCTCTTTCCAGGATCATTTTGAGGGTTATGCATTTGCCCTTCAGCAGTGATGAATGGAGTGTTGTGCTAATGCTGGACTCTACCATTATTCATGTCCCCATCCTCTGTCCAGGCCGTTAATTGCAGCATCCTGGAAGTGGAAGCAAAAACTGTATTACAGAGGAAACTTTCATCTTCCTGATTATAATACCTGACAAAAGGCAGGCTTTTCTATTAATCTCAGATACCTTCCACCGGAGAGGCATCCATTCACTCACTGTACATACACAGGGCCCACATCCAGGCATCATCACACAGAAACAGAATATGTGGCTCATGGGATCTATAACTTCGGTCTGAAGAAGCTGAGCTGATAATCATATCACTCCACTGCCACATCCTTAATCAGCCTATTATGGGCATAAATTAAGAGTTTTAGTGAAGAAAATCTGTGTCCCAGAATTTCTGATTGCCAGGACCCAGATGAGCTCTGCTGAATATAAAGTATTCCACCATATTCTAGCTCTCTCATCGCAGCCTATTATAATCCAATTCATGCTTATTCAAAAATGCCCTGAATTTGTCAGAGCCATCTCTTCCCTCCCGCTTTAGCTCTGAAAGCAACACTCAAAAGAGGGTATTCGGTTACACAAATTATATCTAGAGGATATTGACCAAAGATTTATTGTTCAATATGTATAATTAGAATGATTTTTGTCACAATTAATCAAGAGGCAGAACAAGTGACAAGTCCATCAGAGTGCAACAAAAGCATCAATTTGGGTTACAAGACAATCCATAGTTGATCATGGCTTCTATTAAGTCTTAGAGCTACAAAGGTTCTAACTTTGCCATCTGCTACTTCATCAAATGGTTTATAGGAAAGCTTCTAACCTAGAGAAAAACCAATGCAGCTGTGGGCTGCTTGCTTCTATCTTTTTAAATTAAGACTTTTCAAAAAAGTGTATGGCCCAATTCAAGCTGCAAGAAAAAGGTAAATGATTTTATGTAGTATAGTGCCCACAAACCCTGGAATTTATAATTGTAAAAGCTCAACCACAATGTATTTAGAATTGACGGCATAGTAGGCACTGTCCTAGCCACTGGGGATATCTAGATAAAGGAAATATTATAGAACTTGGCCTACTAGCCAATCAGGACATCTTCCCAACTGCTCTCTTTCCAGATAGAGTCAGCAAATCTCCCTCCCAGTTATCAACACTGAAGGGCACTATCCAATATCTGTATAGCTATGGAGTCACTATTAGAGGAGGATAAAATCAGGGTCGTCTCTCCCTTACCTGCCCTGACTCTCCCGGGACCCCCACCTCGTCTTCTGAGTTCACAACGGAGTTCTCTCTAGCCCAAAACCAACTCTTATAACACAGAGAGAAGAGAGTCACAGGTTTGTCCCTAGATGATAACACAGACTAATGCCCCTAAACAGACAACTTCAAGGTTTCTTTAAGTGGCTTAGCTTTTATTTACTAAGTCAGTAAAAAGTCTTTGTAGGTCTAAGACCGAAAAGAAAGCATAATCAACTACAGCTTCAACTGATTCATTTTTAAAGGAGAGTCAGGGTCATAAAGCAAACAGAATTACTCATCGATAGTGCCAG
The DNA here is from genome assembly GCF_000001405.40 of Homo sapiens. Lineage (NCBI taxonomy): Eukaryota > Metazoa > Chordata > Mammalia > Primates > Hominidae > Homo > Homo sapiens. The sequence goes on from NC_000009.12 coordinate 32,321,040, forward strand.
GAACTGACCTGTTTCTGATAACTGGCCCCCTTTTTTGAGAGGTGACTGTATCTGTTTCTTAATACCTGGGGCAAAGTCAGTTACACACCTTGTGATGACAGACAAAAAGAGGCAGCCAGGACAGAAAGACAAACTTCGCATGTTCTCACTCATTTGTGGGAGCTAAAAATTAAAACAGTTGAATTCATGGAGGTAGAGAGCAGAATGATGGTTACCAGAGGCTGGGAGGGTAGCTGGTAGAGGGTAGGGGGACAGTGAGGATGGTTAATGGGTACAAAAATGTAGTTAGATAGAATGAATAAGATCTAGTATTTCACAGCACAACAGGATGACTACAATCAACAATAATTTATTGTACATTTTAAAATAACTAAGCATATAACTGGATTGTTTGTAACACAAAGAAATAAATTCTTGACATAATGAATACTTCATTTACCCTGGTGTGATTATTACACATTTTGTGCCCGTATCAAACTAGCTCATGTACCCCATAAGTATATACATCTACTATGTACCCATAAAAATTAGAAATAAAAAAGTTTAAAGTTTAAAAACTAACAAAAAAGTTAAAATTAAATAAAAGCTTATTGAATAAGATATAAAGGGAAAAAAGGCAGCCAGAATGAGATCCCAATTGGTGGAAAGGGCAATGAACTTTAAACAGTGGTTCCCTATTCTATTCTGCAGTCTTCTTTATGGAAGCCGTATACATGTGTGCATGAAGACAGAGAGAGACCAACAGGAAAGAGAAAGTTAAAACAAGCTTTTAGAGAGTATTTCCCATGAGCATCTCATAGTCTAGTCAGGGAGATGGACAAGTAAGTTTGCAAGAATTGCAAAACAGTGTTTTACACTTCACAATGGAAGTGTCCTGGAGATACCAAGCAGGGAATGGTAAACACTGTTAGATGAAGGCAGAGAAGGCTTCATGAAAGAGGTGATGACTTTTGAAGGATGAGTAGGAAATTCTAGGTGCATTAGGGGATTAAGGGCAATTCAAACTGCATACACTGCACCTGCTTCACTTTGGTGAGTGGCTCTCAAATTTAGCATGCATCAAAGTCACTTGGAGAGTTTATTAAAGCACAGATTACTGGGCCTCATCCCCAGAGTTTCATATTGAATAGGTCTGAAGTGGGCCCACAAATCTGATTTTCTAAAAAGTTGGCAGGTGATGTTGAAGCTGAGAACTGCTGGCTTAGGTGCACTGTGAGGAAAAATTAGTGGAGAAAGATACTCTGAGAAATAGGCAGGGCTGATTATAAGGGAAATATAGACACTGTAATCTGGACAGTGGGACCCATTGACAGGTTCTAAGCAGTAGAGTGCAATAATCACATGTGAGTTATAAGAGGGCAACTCTGATGGAAGTGTGGAGGGAAAGGGTGGTTATAACACAGTACCAGTCAGCCAGTCAGGAAATGATGAAGTCATAACAAAGGCCCAGGGGGAGCAGTAGAAATATAGAGGATGGATCTAAGATTACTTATGCAAAAACAAAAACAAAACCCAGTCTCTTGAGCTATGTTCTAAAAGGAGGACAGTAAATCAGCTGTTTCCCTTGCCTCTAGAAACTGTTATTTGTTCTCTTGCCTTATTAAAATAAATATGCACGATATACTTCTGGGAAAGGGCACAGATTTTAGTAATGTTTACTTAACAACCATCATTTGTTCATTCTTTTTTCCAAGGAAAAGGGAAATACCCTTATTTGGTGAAGCAAGCGTGTCCCCATGGGTTTTCCATATGCATCTCTGTTGCCCACGAAGCGCTGGACTAAGCATGCCTGGGAAAAGAAAGGGGTAGGTTGGGGGAAGCCTGCGTATTCATAGCTCTAGGAGAAGCAGACCAGGAAGGCCGGAGTAGCATAGGGAAGGGATATAGAGAGGGCGAGAGGAAGGGCAGAAGCAACAAAAGCTGTGCACCTGCAAGGATGGAATAAGGATTTCTAGGAAGCCCTAGAAACAGCTGGTAGGTGATTGAATTTCCTGCAGCAATATTCTAGATGAGGGGCATTTACAAGATCAGCAATAATGTTCATAAAAACTAACATTTATTGATGCTTCCTATTTTAGCCTGGGTTCCTCAAAAGCAGAGCCTGAGACAAAGGCTCACATGGTGATGACTTATTTGAGAATGGAACCTGAGGGAGCAGGAATGCAGAACAGGGAAGTAGTTTAGCAAAGCAGGGAAAGGCAGGACCTTATGAGACACTTCTCAGAATCATCCATCCAGGAAAGAAAGGGGATAGGGTTCATCCATTGGTTGCCTTCACCACTGGTCACGGGCTGCCCAGAAAGATATTAAATCTCTTGCATTTCTGAGTTGCACACACAGGAGTGCCCACTGCAGGTGTCAGAACATCCCTGAGAAGAAAGTGAGAATGTTAGGGAGCTGTCAGGTTGCATCTGTATGAAGCAGGCCAGGCCTGTATGGAACAGGTGATACCATGTTGCACCGGAGTTGAGGCCGCCGCAAGAATGTGTGATGGTACATGAGGTATCCGGTGCACTTGCTGTGGGCCAGCTCCTAGGCTAAGGGTTTTACATACATTATTCCACATAATCCATACAACAGCCCTACAAAGCAGATGTTGCTCTCCCCACCCTGCAGAAGAGGAAATGAGGGTTAGAGGACCAAAATGAGACAGCTTGGAAGTGGCAGGGTGAAAACTTAAATCCACTTCTTTCTGGACTCAAAGCCTGTGCTTAACATAACATTAAACTGTACTCAAGACAAGAATCTAGATAATAATTCAGAAAGTCTTTTTAGGAAGCCATATCAACAGACTTTAAGTGCCTATTAATTTTATTTCTATGCTGGAAATCTAACTTAAGGAAATAATCAGAAATGCACATAAATATTGATGTTTATTACAGTCTTCTTTTTAAGAGCCAGGATCTCACTAGGTTGCCCAGGCTCACCTCAAATTCCAGGTTCAAATAATCCTCTCAGCGATAGTCAGAATTATAGATGTGCACCTCTACACCCGGACTCCAGTCTTTTTAATAATGAATTAGATAGATAGATGACAGATGATAGATGATTGATAGATTGATAGATAGATAGATAGATAGATGGATGGATAAGATAGATGTGTGTGGGCACATATACATATATAATGGAATATTGTGCAATTATTTTAAATGGTTATAATTACAAATATAATAATATAAATAAGTACTTGTGACATGAGGTTAAGAAAAAATATAGCCTACAGAATATACAGTATGATCTCACATAGAAAAAATGACTGAAAGAAAAAGTTAGAAATGTTTAGGTGGTGGCAAGATAATCATAATATTTTAAATTTTTTTCTTTATATTTCTCAATATTGTCTAAATTTTCTACAAAAATATGTATTACTTTTATAATTAGAGACATTTGTTATTTTATTTTAATGGGCAGTGGGGTGCAGTGACTGTTACTCACCAGGGCTCCTCACTGGTTCCCTAGGATACCTTTCAGCTGGGTTGAATGGTCTGTCCCCTGCACCCATCACTACAGTCACTGCTGTCACTGATAAAGAGTCCTTTGCAGCTGAGAGAGGGCTTCATGATACTTCACAAAAAAAGTCTTTTTCAAAACACTCTGCTTGGAGCCTGGAACTGTTTCTCTACTTCTGGGCACCACAGACATCTCTGCTACCCCACGTTGAGCATGACCCCAGTCTGGCCACTACTCTTTGTGTCCAAGGGAGGGCTAATAGTACTGGAATGCTTGTGCTTGAGAAGATCTTAACTGGTGGCAGCCCCCTCAGCTCTGGCTTGTCAACATGAGCTTTCTGTCCTATCTGTCCTAGGCGAGACTGAAACTTTTTCTCCTGACTTCCCTGACTTCCCAGGAGTCTGTCTGGTACCTAGAGGAGAAGGTGAGAAATGAAGAAGAAAATGCTGCCCAATTTCCTTCATTTCCAATTGAGAGACTCTTTCAAGATTTCCCATCTCTGAATTTGCCAAGTAAGTTTCTCCTTATTATAATAATTATTATTATCATCATTATTATTATTTTGAAATGGAGTATCGCTCTTGTTGCCCAGGCTGGAGTGCAATGGCACAATCTTGGCTCACTGCAACCTCCACCTCCCGGGTTCAAGCAATTCTCCTGCCTCAGCCTCCAAAGTAGCTGGGATTACAGGCATGTACCACCATGCCCAGCTAATTTTGTATTTTCAGTAGAGACAGGGTTTCTCCATGTTGGTCAGGCTGATCTCGAACTCCTGACCTCAGGTGATCCACTCACCTCGGCCTCCCAAAGTGCTGGGATTACAGGCATGAGCCACCACGCCCACCTTCTCATTATTTTTTTGTAGAGATGGAGTGTCTCTCTTGGTATATCTCTCTCATACGTGCTGTGTGACCATCTGCACCATCATTTTATCTTTGAAGACTACTCGCCTCCTGGGAATAATTCCTGGAGACCTAATACTAGAACACTGCCATACTTGGTCAGAATTGTCATGGCCCAGTGCTTGACAGTGACATTTCAAAAAGCCACATGGTCCCCTTTTGTCCTTAAATAAACAGTCTGCAGTATTTCCGGGAAAACAGTGTTGCTTGGAACAATGTCCAATAGAGGGGAAACAAGGCTGTAAATTCTGGCTATAACCTAAAGTACATTTGCAGTTCTATCTCACTGCATTATCAGGCATCAAAAGATACTTTGACAAGGGAGTGAAGTGGAGGAAACCTTGCAATCAATGGCTGTTGGTAGCTGCATAGCATATTTTAAACAGAATTCCTATGTTTAGAAAATTTCATACACTATTAGACCTCCTCCTTCCCAAAGGAGATATGAGACTGAACTATCATTTGCAGTGATATACTGCTAAATATTTCACAATCACCTTTCCCGGGGAAGAAAAAAGCCCTAGTTTGGAAATTGCATTTTCCAGTTTCCGTGGTGTAAATATAGCTATACCTCAGGCATATTGCAGGTTTGGTTCCAGACCACCACAGTAAAACAAATATTGTAACAAAGCAAGTCACATGAATTTTTTGGTTTTGCAGTGTGTATAAAAGTTATGTTTATACTATATAGTAGTCTATTAAGTGTGCAATAGCATTATGTCTTTAAAAAACAATGTGTATACCTTAATTTAAAATTACTTTATTGCTAAAAAATGGTAATGATCATCTGAGCCTTCAGCAAGTCATAACCTTTTGCTGGTGGAGGGTCTTGCCTCATTGTTGATGACTGCTAACTGATCAGGCTGGTGGTTGCTGAAGGTTGGGAAGGCTATGGCAATTTCTTGCAATAAGACAACTATGAAGTTTGCGGCATCAATTGACTCATCCTTTCATGAAAGATTTATCTGTGGTACGCAATGCTGTTTGATTGCATTTTATTTACAGCACAACTTCTTTTACTTCTTTTGAAACTGGAGTCAATCCTCTCAAATCCTGCCACTGCTTTATCAACTAAGTTTATGTAATATTTGAAATACTTTGCCATTATTTCAACATTGTTCACAGAATCTTCACCAGGAATAGATTCTATCTCAAGAAACCACTTTCTTTGCTCATATGTAAGAAGCAACTCCTCACTCATTACAGTTTGACCATGAGATTGCAGCAATTCAGTCACATCTTTAGGCTACCCTTCTAGTTTTCTTGCTGTTTCCACTACATCTGTGGTTACTTCTCCCAAAGAAGTCTTGAATCCCTCAAACTCATCCATAAAGATTGGAATTAACTTCTTCCAAACTCATGTTAACATTGATATTTTCACCTCCTAGCCTCGATTATGAATGTTCTCAATGGCATCTGGAATGGTGAATCCTTTCCAGAAGCTTTTCCATTTAGTTTGCCCAGATTCATCAGAGGAATCACTATGGCAGCTGTAGCCTTACAAAATGTATTTATTAAATAATAATATTTGAAAGTCAAAATTTCTCCTTGATCCATAGACTACATAATGAATGTTGTCTTTGCAGGCATAAAAACATTAATCTCCTGTGCATCTCCATCGGAGCTCTTGAGTGAACAGGTATATTGTCAATGAGCAGCAACATTTTGTAAAGAATCCTTTTTTCTGAGCAGTAGGTATCAATAGTGGGATTAAAATATGCAACAAACCATACTATAAACAGATATGCTATCATCCAGGTCTTGTTGTTCCATTTATACAGCATAGGCAGAGTAGATTTAGCATAATTATTAAGGGTCCTAGGATATTCAGAATGATAAATGAGCATTTAAGCATCAACTTAAGGTCACCAGCTGCATTATACCTTAACAAGAGAATCAGCCTATTTTTTGAAGCTTCGAAGTCAGACATTGACTTCTCCTCTCTAGCTGTAAAATTTCTAGAGAGCATCTTCTTCCAATAGAGGGCTGTTTGGTTTGTACTGAAAATCTATTTTTTAGTGAAGCCACCTTCACCAATGATCTTAGCCAGATCTTCTGGATAACTTGCTGCAGCTTCTACATTAGCATTTGCTGCTTCATCTTGCACTTTCATGTTACGGAAACAACTCATTAACTAATCTCTGTTAGCCTCAAACTTTTCTTGTGCAGCTTCCTCACCCCTCTCAGCCTCATTAAATTGAAGAGAGTTCGAGTCTTTCTCCAGATTAGGCTTTGGCTTAAGGAACATTATGGCTGGTTTAATCTTCTATCCCAGCCACTCATACTTTCTCCATATCAGCAATAAGGCTGTTTTGCTTTCTGATCAGTCGTGTGTTCATTGGAGTAGCACTTTTAAATTCTTTCAATAATGTTTCATTTGCATTCACAACTTGGCTGTGTGGTGCAAGAGGCATAGCTTTCAGCCTGCCTTGGCTTTTGACATGCCTTTCTCACTAAGCTTAATCACTTCTAGCTTTTGATTTAAAGTGAGAGACATGAGCCTCTTCCTTTCACTTGAACAGTTAGAGGCCATCGTAAAGTTACTCATTAGCCTAATTTTAATACTGTTCTGTCTCAGGGAATACAAAGGCACAGTTCGTGGTGCCCGAAAATAATTACAATGGTAGCATTAAAGATCACTGAACACAGATCACTACAGCAGATATGATAATGAAAAAGTTTGAAATATTGTGAGAATTATCAAAATGTGACACAGAGACATGAAGTAAGCACACGCTGTTGGAAAAATGGCACCAACGGTCTTGCTGGATATAGGGTTGCCACAAATCTTCAATCCGTAGAAAATACAATATCTGCAAAACACAATAAAGTAAAAGACAATAAAATAAGGTACACCTACACTCCTACCATGGCCTATGTCAAGTTTCCAACAGTTTAAAACTGGCTTTTAAAATTCCTGAAACTGGGGTCTTCCAATTCCAAAATGGCATCACAGATGCAACTCCAACACACACACACACACAGAAAACCCAAAATAAATATACAGCACTGAAATTATCATCAACAATATCCCAGAACTAAAATATGAGGATGAATTGGTTCCCAGGGCCACAAAGAAGCAAAAAAATGACAAGAAGACAGTAAGAAAATCAGATTTCCATATCCTGAAATCACTCACCCCAATCTGCCTGGCATCAAGTACGTAGAAAATTTCCCTTTACACAGTTTATACACTGGAAAAAGTGAGATTAAAGTGGAGAACCAGCTTCGCCACCATCTTGGGTTCCCTGGCAAGAGACCCATTCCTGACTCAACCCATGGGAAACATCATGAGTGACTAAAGGGAAAAAATATCCCTGAGGAAAGCCAGAGAGAAAGAGTAGAGATGGAACTACCATTTCCAGCCCTGGAAACTCTCCTCTGTAACTCTTCCAAAGAAGATGCCAAATCAGACTGGCTGTTCAGCAGCACCGTGCTGTAGGAGGCATGTTCTGCAGGCCCCCTGGGCATGAATCTCCAGACAGCCTTTCCACAGGGCTGAGCTATCCCCTTTGGGACCTCCCCGATTTGGGACAGGCAGGCACTGATCAGTTGTTTGAGCCGAGGCAAAATTGACACAAAAACCGTTAGCATTTGTACACACCAACAGCAAATGATCTGAAAAAGAAATCCAGAAAGCAATGTTATTTCCAATAGCTACAAATAATATAAAACACCTAGGAATCAAGTCAACCAAAGAAGTGAAAGATCTATACAAGAAAAATTATAAACCACTGATGAAAGAAATTGAAGAGGACACCAAAAACATGGAAAAATATTCCATGCTCATGGACTGAAATAATTTAAATTGTTAAAATGACAATACTACTCAAAGCAATTTACAGATTCAAAGCAATCTCTATCAAAATACCAATAACATTCTTCACAGAAATAGAAAAACAATCCTAATATTTATATGGAACCATAAAAACCCTGAATAGCCAAAAATAAAAAAATTCTGAGCAAAAAGAATAAAGGCACAGGCATCACACTATCTGACTTCAAAATATCCTACAAAGCTATAGTAACCAAATCAGCATGGTACTGGCACAAGAACAACACATAGACCAATGGAATAGAATAAAGTACTCAGATATAAATCCACAAATTTATAGCCAACTCATTTCAACAAAGGCACCAAAATCATACAATAGGGAAGGGGGAGTCTCTTCAATAAATGATGCTGGGAAAACCAATATCGTATGCCAAAGAATAAAATTAGACCCTATCTCTCACCACATGCAAATATCAAATCAAAATGATTCAATATTTATATCTAAGAACTCAAATGTGAAACTACTGTAAGAAAATGTTTGGGAAATGCTCCATAGCATTGGTCTTGATAAAGACTTTTTGAGTAAGACCTCAAAAGCCCAGGCAACTGAAGCAAAAACAGAAAAACAGGATTACGTCAAGCAAAAGAACTTCTGCACAGCAAAAAAATAATCAACAAAGTGAAGAGACAATCCACAAAATGAATAAAAACATCTTCAAACTATCCATCTGACAAAAGATTAAAAACTAGAATATATAAGGAACTCAAACAATTCAATAGCAAAAAATAATAACCTGATTTGAAAATAGGCAAAAGATCTGAATAGACATTTCTCAAAAGACACATAAATGGCCAACAGATATATGAAAAAATGTTCAACATCACTAATCATCAGAAAAATTCAAAACAAAACTACAGAGAGATATCACCTTACCACAATTAGAATAGCTTTGGACAAAAAGACAGGAAATAATAGGTGCTGGCAAGGATGTAGAGAAAAGGGAACTCTCATACAATGTTGGTGGGAATGTAAATTAGTACAGCCACTATAGAAAACAGTATGGAAATTCCTCAAAAATCTAAATATAGAGTTATGACATAAGCCAGCAATTCTACTGCTAGGTATACACCCAAAAGAAAGTAAATCAATATAATAAAAAGATATCGGCACTCCCACATTTATTGCAGCACTATTCACAATAGCCAAAATATGAATTCAACCAAGGTGCCCATCAATGGATAAATGGTTAGAGAAATGTGGTATATATATACACAATGGAATATTATTCAGACATAAAAAAGAATGAAATTCTGTAATTTGCAGCAGCATGGATGAAACCCAAGGTCATTATGTTACGCGAACTAAGCCAAGCCCAGAAAGACAAATATCACATGTTCTCACTCATATTGGGAGCTAAAAAATAGTGGATCTCATGAAGATACCGAGTAGATTGGTGTTTTCCAGAGGCCGAGATAGTATGGGGAAGGAGGGGATGAAGAGAAGTTGGTTTGTGGGTACAGATATACAGTAGCTAGAAGAAATAAGATCTGGTGTTCAATGGATCATCGGCGTGACTATAGTTAACATTAATCTATTGTACATTTCAATAGCTAAAAGAGAATAATTCCAATCTTCCTAAAGAAAAGATAAATATTTAAGGTAATAGATGTCCCAATTACCCTGATTTGATTATATGAATGTATCAAATGAATGTACAAATTACCACATGTACCCCTAAAATATGTACATCTTTTATGTATCAATAAAAGCATAAACAAAAATTAAAATTAAAAAAATAAAGTATATGAAACTTAACAATCAACTCTCATGACCTGGTTTGAGCCAGCTTCAATATACAGCTGGAAAGACATGTGACTTAGATTCTACAATCAGATAAACCTATAATGGAACTTCCCACAGCAACGCAGGAGGGTTGTCCCTGAAACAGGCCTGAGATGCATTTGGGCATTGTTCCTGATCTCAGAGTCTCCTGGCCTACCTGGAGGTTTTGTAAACTTTTTTAAATTTTTTTAACAAATGCCTCTTATGCTTTGACTTAAGACTTAGTAGAGTGGATGATCTTACTTGCAAAGAAGAACTCTGGTCAATTATAATGAGGATCTTTCTGTTTCAGACAGAGAGAGGTACTTGTACGCAGAATTAAATATTGCCTCCACTGAGCCTGTCTTTAAAGTTTAGGATTTCCCTACGAGCGTGAATTCAGGTTTCATCCAATCCCGTGTGTTCCCCACTGATAACAGTGTTAGGCAAAAACAACCTCATACTCAGATTTCTCTGCAACTCAAGATAAATGAAGGGTGTGGCTTTACTGTGTAATGAAGTGTCTAACAAGAGTCTCAAAAAGACTTGGAAAGAGTGGGGAGTAATTCCCTCCACTTCAGTGGTGCCAGCTCTCACATTCATTAAAGAGGCTGAAAAACTCTGAAGACAACAGAGGGACCAGGAAGGACATCCATCATGGACACTTTGATAACCTCTCCCGAAAAGTTGGTTCCACAAACTTTACCTTAGATATTGTTCCAGGACTTTCTGGACCACCTGCCTCTAAGATACCTGAAATGCTTGTTTAAAATTATTTCTGCCTTGCCCAGCCTCCTGAGTCATAATACCCAGAGTCAAGGAATATACATTTCAACTTGTGCTTAAATTTTTTAAGAATCAAGCGTCTTTATAACATCACAGAAAAGGGCTCTCTACCGCCCAGCACACCCAAATACATACACACACAAACACACACACACACACACACGCGTATATGTTTTATATATATGCACACACAAATTATATATATTTAAGTATATGTAAGTATATATTTATATATAAATGCACACATACAGAAAATCTCGTGTATATACAGGTATATAGGTATATACAGGTATATAGGTATATACAGAAATTTTTATTCTACAAAGTCTAGATATATAGAATTTTATATAATCTACATATACAGAAATTTCTATATATAGAAAATTATGTGTGTGTGTATATATGTATGTTTATACGTACCCACACAGAAAATCATAGCTATATAACACAAATTACATGTTTAGGCATGCCAGACATGACATTATTATGACAGGTTTAATAAAAAGTTTTAACCTATGGTTTTGAATTAAAAATAAAACTCTCCACAGTGCCTTGGAGATGTGAGAAGGAGTTGAGAGGAGCCCAGTCTATTTGGCTGGGAGTCACCATCTTCTCCCATTTTTCTCTCCATATTTAAAAGCTTCCTGGCTCCAAGGGGGTTTGTCCCCAGGTAGTTCTTTAAAGAGTGCTCTACCGAAGCAGCTTCTAAATGCTGCTGCTTCTTATCATTCATGGAAGATATAGTGCAATTAAAAATAATAATAGCCAACCTTTAAGGAGGTCTGTTTGCAAGGCACCATGCTAAGCACTTTGAATGGATTCCTTCAGTTAATCCTTACAACTATTTGATGGAGGAATCATCATTATTCTCATTCTATAAGTAAGGAAAGCAGATGTAAGCTAATTATCCAAGTTCTCCGCAAGTTAGTGGCAGAAGCAGAATATGGTTGGTGAGAGTCTGACTCCAGAGCCTACACTCTGAAGTTCTGCACCACACTGATAGTGCCTGGCAGTAGTCAGGTCAAAGATAGAGGAGGGAAATGAAAGGTGCTGCAGCAAGCTGTCTGACATATGCATAAGGATCTGGAAGAAACCCCTTGACTCAGAAAATCTTGCAATGTTTCACAAGAGGCTGGGTTTCCTCATTAGCTGATGGGGACTAGTCTGTGACATATGGATGGTGGCAGTGTCTATCACTCCACCCACAGTTTGTGGCCTGAAGAGTTATAAGCCATATATGTATAATTAAGTGGCTACAGTTCTTATTACAGTGGATGGATTCTGTCGGTGCTATCTGATTCTTTTGTTGTCTTCATTAAAACCCAAGTGAAAGAACACTTCCTAGGGTTTCTACTGAACAGAGTGGACAATGGGTGCTTGCTGACTGAATTCTACCTCCTCAACTGCCTTGCTTCTGTTTTTTATTTTACTTATTTTTATTTCTCCAAATTTGTTATTTATCAGGAGTGACTGAAATACAAAATATAATTGAGTCCCATCATCATCATCATGGAAATGGCTTTAAGAGAAAACTGGTTAGATGAATATTATTGCTTCCCATTTTCAACCAGTAAATAGTTCCCACTGATAAACTGACAGCCAGGAGTCTGTTAAGAATGCTCAAGATATGTTATATAATACAACATGCCTGCTCACAGGGGGAAAAAATCCTAGGAAATAACTTATGTGTACTTTTTGATTTCATCACACAAGACAAGCACAAAAGCACCACCCATGCCTCTGAGGACATTGGACCATGCACCCTTGAAAAAAGCTTTGTCTCCTTCATCACGAGCAATCTTCCTCCAGCAGTCAAGTGTGCCTGTGTACATGATGTCAGTTGCTTTGAGTTCTGACTGCATCATCATGCAGCGGCAAACAGTGTCAAATGGATAGGAAGTCAACCCAGCAAATGGAAGTGATGGACTGTGCCATCATCCAGCTGATGACGATGCGAGTGTTCTTGGGATCTGGAAGCATTCCCTTTACAGTGCCATAGATACTGAAGTAGACAGCTTGGTAGATGACAATACCCTGCACAGGCACGTTAAAGCCTTGGTACAGGCCCTTAATCCCATCCGATTTGTAGATCTTAACCAGGCAGTCATCGAGATCTCTGAATCCCCTTTCGCCTCCAGGTCTACCCACATCGGCTGCTAGAAAGGTATGGGCAAAACCAAAAGGGTACACAAAACATAAGGATGTGGCCCCAGCGGCACTGCCCGATGCCAGATTCCCTGCAAAGTCATGCCAAAACTGGGTCTTCTTGTCCACACCACCCAGGAAGATCTGCTTGTTTTTATCTTTGAAGGTGAAGTTGAGAGCCTGGGTGGGGAATTATCTGATGACATTGGCCAGGTTACCGCGCCAGAAGGATAGGACTCCCTGCTCCTTGGGAATACGGACCACACAGTCTATAATGCCTTTGTATTGCTTATCTGTGGTGATTTGCTTGCTGGCATGCTGCACCTGCAGCAGCAGCTTGACCCCCTCGATGGGCACTACTGCCATCTTGGGGATGGCCACAGCGACACCACCTGCCAGGAAGTCCTCAGCGAAGGACAGAGTGGTATGTGTCATGTTGAAAGGAAAGAGGAGGCAGGTGGCTAAGGGATGGGACTGGGATGGGAACTGGCTTTGACTCCGGGGCTGTGGGGCCTGTCTTGCTTTTTGCAGATTTCAAAGGAACTAAAGCCCTTCCCTTAAAGTAATGCATCATTGGTCTAGGTTCATATCCTAACTCTACCACACAAGCTCCGCAACCTCAGGCAAGCTAGCTGACATCTCTGAACCTCAGTTGTTGTTGTTGTTTCTGCATTTTTTTTATCTATAAAAAGATGAACATTCTTAACTCACAGGAATGAAGAGGAAATGAAAACATTTAGCAAAAGTCCTGGCAGAGTAAATACTCAATGAATAGCAACTGCTTGAATTTTTACAAAAACCCTCATCTCTTCCTAAATCATTTATTCATTAATTATTTTTACATAAGTCCCTTTGACAAACTTTTCCAAGTCCTGTGCTTTTGCTTTGTGTACACATATCCTGACAGGGACACTGACAGACAGAGGACATGTGTATATGTTGTTAGACCTGGGCTCACTTTCCCTGCAAAAGCAATGTCTGGAAGATGCCACCCCACCTAGTGCAGTTTGCACAGTGATGCCTACTGTAAGTGAGCCCCAAAGTCTGGAGAGTCAAGCTATCTCTTCCTCCATGCTCTTTATCTTTTCTCTCCAACAAGCAAGATCATGGTTTCTTTTCACATGGCAATAAATAGAAGCAGAAAGTTTCTCCTTCATGTTTTGCCTCCCATCCCTCTGTCATCTGTGCACAGGCTGCCTGGTTCTGGGCATCTCTCTACATCGTGTTATCTTGAGACTCTGTGCATAACAGAGAATAGCAAATCAAATCCACAACCCAAAGCCACACTGAGGAGTAAAACAAACTCAGATAAAAGGCCATGCCTATTCTGACAAATGAGGAGTGCCAGCCCCATCAGCTAAGGTAAGGCTGAGTGACGCCTTTCTGAAGAAATGTCAGGATTTCATTTTCCAGCTTGCCCGCAGTGCATCTCAGGTTGACATCTTTCATGTATTTTTGACATTTACTCATATGAATAAATGGATGTTTGATCTTTCTGGATTTCCTTCTCAGTGACCAGGAAAAGAAAAATGTAAATGCATCATTTTAAGCCCTCAAACCACTGGTTGTAACTGCAAGACCAATAAGGAAACAGACTTTTTACTCTCTTCTTTAACCGATTGATATGTTTACCATTTATTATGTCTTATATGTGTAGCTGCAAGCTCCCTGCCCTCAAATGTCATGGACAAAGCAGTTTCTGAATCTCAGCAATCCTGACATTCAGAGAGGGAGAATTCTTTGTTGTGGAGAGCCATCTGTGCATTGTAGGATGTTTGGCAACTCCATAGCCTCTACCCACTAGCTGCCAGCACCACCCTCTACTCGCATGTGCCAAACAAAAATATTTCCAAACATTGCCAAACATCCAAAGTGGGGCAAAATTGCCCCTGGCTGAAAACCACTAAACTAGATAAACATGTGGGTAAATACCTATAATACAATGAGAAGGTGGTAAAAGATGAGACGTATCAAGTGCTACAAAAGGAAAAACTTGCTCCGCCAGGGAAAGTGAGGAAGACTTCACAGAGGAAATGGCAACTGAGCTACATTTAGAGCTGTTGTTTTTTGAAAATAATTCCTTATTTTGAACTCAAATTAGCCTTCTTACATAACTATTGACTCTTGGTCTAGGCTTTGGTTAATAGTTGTGTATTAGTTAGTTTTAGATAATAGTTGTGTAAAAAGGCAAATATGAGTTCAAAATAAGGAGTTATTCCCAGTCTTGATTTAGACTTTCTCATTTGATTCTTTGAAGTTAATAAATGCAAAAACCAACACTCTACACAAGTATTTCCCAGCTCACACGATACTGTCTGAATTCACCGCTATGGACTCTGGTCTTAAAGGAAAGAAGAATAAGGGAAGAGGTAAATGGGTGAGCTTCAGCCACTATCAATGAATAGGAGGTCAAAGAAGGGAAAGCAAGCACTGGAAACATATGAACAATATCCTCTATCTCTAAGCAGAAGCATCCATTTTTACATTAAAAACAAAAGTCTGGACAAGAACTTTCACAGTGTGGTATCTTTTTCTACTGTGAAATGAGACAAAAGTGAGCTGTAACAGTTGAGTTTTTGATATTTCATTAGTTTAGCCTACTGCATTCAACACTTACCCAGAGGCCCTATACGTGCAACCACTGCTGTTGACCAGTGTTGTTTCCTTTGTTCTCCAGGTCTAAGCTGTTTGCTCCTTTCCAGGTTAAGAAAAGTTCCAGCTGAAACAACAGGTTCTCAGATACTCACTGCTGCAGACCAGTCATGCTAGACAACCACACACTGTTATTGCCTCATCTCTGCAGAGGTATGTAGGCACCCAGGAGCCCATTTATTTCTCATTGACTTTTAATGCTGATAAACACACAAGTAAGAATGAAGGGACTGGAGAGAAGTAATTCTAGTATGGTAGAGTAAGAACCTCTAAAAATTCATTGCTCCATAAAAGCAATAAGAACGCTAGTCCAAAAAAATAGTTAAAATTAAAATTAACTTTCTTAGAGCTCTACAAATTAACTAAAGGCTTACAAGGATCCAAGAAGCATTTATTCAAGAAAAGTGGCTGAATCTCACTTAGAAAGAGCGAGCTTTGTGGTGTTTGAATTTATCTAGTCTACTCTCCCCAGCTCTGTAATAGCCTTGAAAATAGGCAGCCTTAGAAACTATAAACACCAGCAGCTTAACAGCCACCAGAGAGGAAAGAACAGGTTTAGAGCTTCCTAAAATGCCACAGAGAATTGCCACTATTTGACCTACCTGAAAGCTCTCTGGAAAAGCCTCATTTGCATCTAATTAAACTTAAGAACTGCACAGCAAAAGAAACTATTAACAGAGTAAATGGACAACATACAGAATGGGAGAAAATATTTACAAACTATGCATCTGACAAAGGTCTAATATCCAATATCTATAAGAAAATTAAACAAATTAACAAGGAAAAAACAAACAACCCCATTAAAAAGTGGGCAAAGAACATGAACAGACACTTTTCAAAAGAAGATTCCATGCAGCCAACAAGCATATAAACAAACGCTCAGTATCACTGATCATTAGAGAAATGCAAATCAATACCACAATGAGATATCACCTCACACCAATCAGAATTGCTATTACTGAAAAGTCAAAAAATAACAGATGCTGACAAGGTTGCAGAGAAAGGGGAATGCTAATACACTATTGGTGAGAGTGTAAATTAGCTCAATCATTGGGGAAAGCAGTGGCAATTTCTCAAAGAGCTAAAAACGGAACTACCATTCAACCCAGCAATCCCATTACTGAGTATATACCCAAAGGAATATACATTGTTCTGTCATAAAGACACATGCATGCATATGTTCACTGCAGAACTATTTACAATAGCGAAGACATGGAATCAACCTAAGTGCCCATCAGTAACAGATTGGATAAAGAAAATGTGGTACATATACACCAAGGAATACTGTGAAGCCATAAAAAAGAATGAGATCATGTCTTTTGCAGACACATGAATTGAGCTGGAGGCCATTATTCTTAGCAAACTAATGGAGGAACAAAACACCAAATACCACATGTTCTAACTTATAAGTGGGAACTAATTGATGAGAACTCATGGACACAAAGAAGGTAACAATAGACGCTGAGGCCTACTTGAGGGTGGAGGGTGGGAGGAGGGAAAAGGTCAGAAAAAATAATTATTGGGTACTAGGCTTAGTACCTGGGTGACAAAATAATCTGTACAACAAACCCCTGTGACATGAGTTTACCTATATAACAAACCTGCACATGTACTCCTGAGCCTAAAATAACAGTTAAGGAAAAGAAATGAAAAGCCCCATTCATAGGGTTTCTCTTTATTTGACCTGACTCAGAGTCACTCAATAAGAAAAAGTCTATTCTCAGTGCATTTGTCAAAAACAGCCACAATTGCTTAACATCAAGCTGCCAGAGGCTGTGAAACTAATTCAGTCAAAAAAAAAAAAAAAAAAAAAAAAAAAGATGGCCAAAAACCTTGAAACAAAAATCTGGTAATAAAATGTCTATAAGGAGCTTTTAAAAGCTACAAGATATTCCTGGGGATCTAGAAGGCTACACACATAGGCAGGGCCGGGCACATTCCCAGGAAATACCTGAGAAGACCCTAACCTTCCACCTCTGGCTGAGTGGGAGGCTCTGAGCAAGCAGGCAGTGAAAGCTAAGGTAGGGTTGCAAACTGCTAAGCACTGAAAGTGTGCCCCAAAGCATATACAGAAGGGTGGAAGATTGATTGGTCACAGAATTTAAGAAAATCTTCATTCAGTCCTACAGCTGGCCACTAAGCTAATCAAGCAGAGACTTCAGCACCACATAAAAGTAAACAGAGTATACATAATTAGTTCATGAAATATATTTTTAAAAGAATATTATTTTCAACAAATGGTACAGGGACAACTGGATAGCCAGTCACAGGCAAAAGAAGAAAGTGGACCCTACCTCACTCCATCTACAAAATTTTATTCTAATTATTAGAGCTAAGCCTACAAAACGCTTGGAAGGTCATGATGGTTATTTTATTAACAGGCGTCAACTTGGCTGAATTAAAGGATGCCTAGATAGCCAATGAAACATTATTTCCAGGCATGCCCATGAGGGTGTTCCTGAGGGATACTGGCTGAGTGGAGATTGGCCCTCAGTGTGAGCAGCACCATCCAATTAGCTGGGGCCCCAGATAGAACAAACAGGAAGAGGAAAGGTGAATTTGCCTGCTCTCTCTCTTTCTCCCTCTCTCTCTCTATCTCTCTCTGTCTCCCCCTTTCTCCCTCTCTCTCTTTCTTTGTCTCTCTCTCTCTCTCTGTCTCTCTTTCTCCCTCTCCCTCGCTTTCTCCCTCTCTCTGTACCCTGTCCTTGAACATCAGAACTCCAGGGTCTCTGGCTGTTGGCCTCTGGGGTTCGTACCACAGGACCCCTGCGTACTCAGGCCTTTGGCCTCAGACTGAGAGTTACACCACCAGCTTCCCTGGTTCTCCAGCTTGCAGATAGCTTATTGTGGGACTTCTCAGCCTCCAAAATTACATAAGCAAGTTCCCTTAACAAATCCCGTCATGTGTCTGTCTATCTATATCTCTATCTATGTATACCCATATTCTGTGTCTCTAGAGAGCCCTAACACAAAGATCATCATTAACAGCCTGCTGCTGACAGAAATAGTGGCAGCACCTGGCAGATGGAGTCCTGATGTTTAAAGCAGAAGAATTCACCTTTTCCATAGATGATTCAGCTGCACACAGAACAGGAAATATGTGTCCGTACAAAAACCTGCACACAAGTGTTCATAGTAGTTTCACTTGTAGTAGCCAAAAACAGGAAGCATGCCAAAGGTCCATCAGCAGGTAAATGGATAAACTGTGGTGTATCAATACATTAGAATACTACTCAGCAATAAAATAACTAACTACTAATATATGCAACAACGTGGATGAATCTCAAAGCAATTCTGCTGAGTAAAAAGAGCCAAACAGAAAAAGCACATACTGGATGATCACATTTATATAAAACTCTAGAAAATGCAAACTAGTCCATAGAAAACCGTTTGGAAATTTCTTAAAAAGTTAAACATATACCTACCATATAACCCAGCCATTCCTCTCCTAAAATTAAAATATATGTTTACACAAAGATTTGTGTACAACTATTTATAGCAGCTCTATTTATAATAGCCAAAACCTGACAATAGCCCAAATGTCTATCCACAAGGGAATAAACAATCTGTGGTCTATCCATACAATAGGATACCACTCAGCAATAAACAGGAATGAACACTTGATACACACAGCAATATAGATAAATATCAAAATATTTACACTGAGTAAAAGAAACCAGACAAAAAGGAGTACTTACTGTATAATACCATTTATTTTAGATTCTAGAAAATACAAACTAATCTATAGTGACAGTTGATCAGCATTTGCATGAGTTACAATAGCACCTGTGTCTTGCTCCACCTGTAGATCCACGAGTTAAATAAATGTCATTGTTCTAAGCCAGTGCATTTTAGGACGTTTTTTAGTCAGCTATAGCAGCTGGAACAGCTCCTTTCCTTCTTCCGCACCTCAATGGGGCCCACAGATGAAGTGCTGTAGCCAGGTCAGTCCTCCACAAAACCATGAAAGCTAACACTTTAATACCCTTAGATCCCATCAAAGGGTATTTGAGGCTCCCAGGCTGCCCTAAGCTGCCTCAGTCACGCCTACCCACCCAGGATGCCTGGCCCTCACATCAAAATCCTTTCCCAACGCTCTCTTCCCCACCACTACTTACTGTGTCACTGCACCTTCCCTCCACATTCACCTTTCTGTGTTCCTTTTGACCTGTGGCCACTCCTCCAGAGGTGGAAGCCCAGGAGTTCTGTGGCTCATAGTTTAAAGTGTAAGTTTACTTCAGCTCAAGAATTTGGGTACATTTTAAATGGAGCTTTTTGGAAACAAACACCTTATCCCAGAAATGAATTAGAGCTGGGAAATTCTGGAAAAGAAGGAGACTTCTAAGCCCTTTCCTCCTGCCTTTGATTGAACCACCTGGTCTCAATAGCAATAACCAGACAGCAAAATAGCTGCTTCTATACTTTACATTTTATGATTCCAGCTGTTTTGAATTAGAAAGTTGCACCATTATTGTTGCCCAAATACGTGCAGATTGCTCTGGTTGATTAAGCATCAATGGGTTTATAAAATAACTGAAAACAGTACAACATCCAAGTAGCAATTTCACCATCCACAAACTCAGCTTTAAGCAGCTAAGTTTTTTGACAGTAATAGAATTGGTGCAGTAATTTTTCTCATGGCCTAATGGAGTTCATGTAGATCTTAAGAGATGACTTTCATAAGGAAAGAATGTGGCTAAAGGCACACGGTACCCATTGAGTTCTTTGTAGTTTCTTGATACACTATCATTACCACAGCCTTCTCTATAAAACATTCCATGGGCTTTTTGACTGAGCCTCTGCCACTGAGCTTAGAACTTTAAAATAAGTGTTGCCGTGGAAGCAACAAATAACCTACTACCAGAGTGAAAAAGGAAAAGTTAAATTGCCTACAACTGTTAGTGTTTCAGGACTTTCTGCACCTTTTTTTTAAATTCATTTTTGCCAAGAATATAAGACCCTTTCACATATCTCTGACTACACTGGTTGCCATGGTTTTCTAGCTTTTGCTACTTCTGGAAATAAACAACCCATTAGATTTGTGTCATGGTTAATTTGTCCCTTTGCACAACACAGAGGTGATTTGTAGCCTGAAAATCAGCACAAGTTATCCTAAGTCCCCCATGGTGAAAAGCTGGCACCAGGACGTTTTAACTATATATATATATATGTGTGTGTGTGTGTGTATACATATATATATAATATGTAATATTATATATTATAACATGAATACTAGTTAAGAAGCTGACTTCATGAAAAGATAGGTATTATTTCTAATTAGTATGTCAATTGTACATGCTTCTGGAATTGCTAAATACAGTTTATTAATCCTTCATATATTTCCAATATTATCTGTGTATGAGTCCCTTTTGTCACAGAGAATGTAAAAATAAAAATTCCCCTAAATTGTTCCCAAATACCACAAATTCCAAAGTGATAGACCCCAGATGACTGAGGATTTTGAAAACCCACTTGAAAGTGGCAAAATTATCCAGGTGTTCTCTTTGGAGGCATATCAATTCTTTCAAGTCACTGAGAACCAGTCTAAAACCTGGAAGGTGTGAGTCTCCCCAAATACCTCAGGCCTACCCCAGTTTAACCTCTAACATCAGCCTCACCCAGTCCAGGGCCCAAAGAGAACCCAATCTGAAAGAATATAAATAGCTTCATAACCACTTGCAAAAAAGGAAGTTGGGAAACAGTTTATAATCTCCCAAAGGGCTGGGTCCTATTTTCTATCTAAATTATCTAAGAAACTTCTGAATAAAGGCTCTATTCCCTTTTGGTGTCATGGAGAACTGCTGCACAAAAATCTTCATGCTGGGACCTTCTCATCCACACACCCCACTCCCAGCCCACCCCACCACCACCACCACCACCATCACCATCTTTAACTCACGTGTACCCCTGCAGAGGGCAGAGGTTCTGCTTATTCATCTTTGTATCATCAGCACCTACCACAGAGCCTGGGCATACAAAACTTTCAAGTGTGTTGAAATAAATGGAATTTTTTAATGTGTTGAATGAATCGTAACTATATACCATCCTTAGTTTGCCTGTGACTAGTAATCATAAAGAGAAGTTTAAAAGGTCTAATTAGGTTAGGAGCAAAGGAGTTATTTTAAACTTTTTGAGTTCTATTCCATTTTGTATGAGGAGGGATAATTATGGAGGAAATCACATTCCCAACAAAAATTGTGTTTAAAAACAATTCTTTCTCCCAGCACTTTGGGAGGCCAAGGTGGGTGAATCACGAGGTCAGGAGATCGAGACCATCCTGGCCAACATGGTGAAACCCCATCTCTACTAAAAATACAAAAAGTACCTGAGCATGGTGGTGCGTGCCTGTAATCCCAACTACTCAGGAGGCTGAGGCAGGAGAATCGCTTGAACCCGGAAGGCGGAGGTTGCAGTGAGCCAAGATCGCCCCACTGTGCTCCAGCCTGCTGACAGAGCAAGACTCTGTCTTAAAAAAAAATCAAAAACAAAAAAACAAACAAACAAACAAAAATCTTTCAGGATTTGTAACTGGAAAGCAAGTTGAACCTGGAAATAAGGACTTGAAAGAAAGAGACAGTGAAAAGAGAGAAGAAAGAAAGTCATAAATGACAGCAATATCAATTCCTGGTGACTATCAAGAGCTGATTCAGCCATCGTTCTTCTGGCCAACTGAGCATAAACCAGTAAGTTGAGCTAGCAAAAAACAGAGGAAAAAGAGGAGTATGAAAATTCACTTTTACTAAAGGATATGCATGGGCCTGCAATCAGAACAACTTGAATGTAGCTAAGGAAAGATATTTGAGGGAATAGGTCAATGTGCTCAGCCCAGGCTAAGCCTAGTCAGTCTGATGGAAAAAGGGAGAGAATTTGCAAGGAGTGTCGTCAAGAAGCAGAACCTTCAGAAAGGTCACCTGCACCTAGGCCACGGGCCAATCCAGGTAGCCCTGAAGGGTTAAGACCACACATTAAGATTAGCTGCCTTCCCTGTTGGCTTCAGGACATAGACTTTATTTCCAATGTGCCCTGAATTAGTTTATTCTTTGAGTCAACATTCAACAGGCCCATGTGCAAAACCACTACCTGAGAGATGCAAGGAAAACTAAGGACTTCCAGAGCCTGCAGAGATCCTCTGGAGATGCACACAAGTAGCAACAACACAAAGTCCAATGGGGAGGCGTCGTAAGAGGGAGAAAAATGAAGTTCTACTTGATAAGAGACCTATTAATAACTATCTTCTAACTTGATTTTTATAATTCATAAGTGCATTGTCACTTATGACTTTCTAAATAGATATGCACAGTAGAAGGGGATTATGGGGTGTTGCTCAGGCTGGTCCCCCTACTTGGAACACGAGTCTCTCCTTTCTCTTTGTTACCTTCACGTTATCTTCAGGTCTTGATTCACAAGTCAGTTTCTCCAGAATATCTTCCTTGATCCTATCAAGGACCCTGCTACGTGCTCTACGTGGGACTTTCCTTAGCAGAGCACTTACTACATTGTATCCTAATTGTTTGCTTAATTTTCTGTCCCTATAATTAGATTAAATTCCATGAAAGCAGAACTGCACTTGGCTGGGTCACCTGAATCTCTGCTCCAGGTTTGGTGCATAGCAGGCACACAGAATGTTTTATGTGGATTTATCAATCAATTAACTCATGACACATTTAAAGGGCCTCAGCAACAGTCAAGATGGAATAACATTGAGTGGCCATACTGCTCATCAATCTAATTGAACATGAAAACAGATTAATTCAAATTTCCCACACCAAATATATAACTCAATGCAAAAGGCCCTGTCCCTCACATATCCAAAGGGGTTCACTGGTAAGGGCAATAAGTCATAGAAGAAATGTAAGTAGAAAGATCATTTGAAACCCCAAATTATTAAACATTTTTTATTCCTACTTTTAGTTTCTTCACCACAATACCTTTTAACAGAGTCACTAACAAAAAAGGAGGGGAAATCACGCACCGACTTTCCTCTCCTCCCTCATCTGCCTTCTGCCTTCTGGAAGCCTTCAGATGAGCTGGCAATAGCCAGAAGAATGAAGAATAAAGGGTGTGAATAACCCCTGCGCTTTAGCTTTCAGTTTCACTTTCTGACAAAGGATCAGAGTCTTGCCCAAGGCTGGAACAACCTGGGGAGCCTGCATTCAAGCTCTGTATTCAGGAAATAGTCAGCATTCTGCATCCCAGTCCTGGAGGCCCCCTGCTCAGGAAGCTTCCTCCCACAGGCTGCCTCTCCACCTAAGAACCGGGATACCTGGGACATTAGGTCCAACATCCATCGGCATCACAGGTATTGTCCACACTTGGACAGCCACTGAACATGCCTCTGAGTAGCAGTGTTACCACTGAGGGCGGTGGGGTGGAGGGGAAGAAAACCAGTGCTGCACTTTTCAATGGAAATGCTCTCGTTTGATCTCTCGTATCAGTGAAGGTTGCTTTTTCTGCAAACCTGTCACTGCATGTGATGCCTCTATTACATACACAGCCTCTGGCAACATGGACAAGGCTAAATCCCTGCCCCAAATCTAAATGTGCCAAAGCAGATCAAAATATGAGGTAGTGCTTAAGTTGATATGGACAGCAATTCACAGGCACTGACATCTAAGTTCTTTCTTTGTTTCTGTCAATTTCCAACCGGACTGCGGCAACCTAACTGGATACCCCATCACTACCCTCCTCCTTCTCAAACCCCATCTTCATTCCTGCTCCTTAAAACCATTATCACCACCAGAAACTACCCAGATCCCAGTACATCCTACAATGCTGATCATTGGATTCTAGCAGAGAGGCAATGGAAACACAACATGACATTTCCTGTTTCCAAACAGAGCCCAGGGAAAGCACCGCTCCACTGATAAATGCTTGCTTTCAGGCACTCCCAGCTACCCGCAGGTGGTTCATATGCATACCCAGTTGGAGAGGGACTCTTTCCAGTCTAGACCAGCTGCTCCACTAAGCCAGCCTCTGGTTGCCTCAGCTAAAAAATGCATCATCATTTTTACGACGATGCCCACAGATTAATAAACCATATGCAAAAAGACGGCCATCCAAATAATTAAGCTTCCTATTGCAGATATTGTAAAGTCATGACAGATCCAGGTGTGCCTGAAATTCTGGCTCCTTTATTCAGCACACTTACGAGCAGATAAAGTCTTTTGTTATAAACGTCAGGTGCCTTCTTAAAGCATAGTGACAAACCAGGATAAAATAACTTCCTTTGGCCTTTCACCCAGAATGCAAGCACTCCTCTCTGGGCAGGAAGGCACCAGTAGGATGACTATCAAAGCCCCCACCTAGAATAAATCTACATTTACAGAGGGGTGAGAACAATAACTGATGTTGAATCTTGTTGCATCTACATTTTGGGAGGTTTGGGAAAGAGGACAGAAGATAGACCTTGCTGGGACTGACTCTTTCAGCTTTTTAAAGAATAATGTGTTTCTTACTACAAAATTGGCTTATGCTCACTGTCGAAATACAGACAAGCATAGGAAAAAAAATAAAGTAGTGCTGATTCACTTTCCCAAAGTAATCACTGTTAAGATTTTAGTGCAATTCCTCCTTTCCCAATGCGTGCGTGTTGTGTGTTTTAGATTATGAGAATGAATTTGTAACTGGTATTTTTACTTAATAAAAACTACTATATTAATAATATTTTGTACATTTTTTTTTTGAGACGGAGTCTTGCTCTGTCGCCCAGGCTGGAGTGTAATGGCGTGATCTCGGCTCACTGCAGCCTCTGCCTCCCAGGTTCAAGCAATTCTCCTGCTTCAGCCTCCTGGGTAGCTGGGA
This sequence comes from Homo sapiens, assembly GCF_000001405.40. Taxonomy (NCBI): domain Eukaryota; kingdom Metazoa; phylum Chordata; class Mammalia; order Primates; family Hominidae; genus Homo; species Homo sapiens. The sequence goes on from NC_000009.12 coordinate 32,346,373, forward strand.
CTACAGGTGCCCGCCACTACACCTGGCTAATTTTTTGTGTGTATTTTTAGGAGAAATGAGGTTTCACCATGTTGGCCAGGATGGTCTTGATCTCCTGACCTCGTGATCCGCCCGCCTCGGCCTCCCCAAGTGCTGTGATTACAGGCATGAGCCACCGTGCCTGGCCATTTTGTACATTTTTTAAAGATAACACGTGTGGGTGCAAAAAAATAAAGCTAACATTTATTGAGCCAGCAACCTTGCTGTATTATCTCTCTTACTCTTCACAATACCTCTCTGAGTTAGATACTATTAGATTTCACCATATTATAAGTGAGGAAACAAAGACATAAGATCAGCTAAATGATGCCTCTCTTCTGCTTCTTCTCTTTTCCTTCTCCCCTACACCATCCTCCTACCAAGCAGAAAAAACACAGCTCTAGAGTAACCTTCTCAGATCTCCACAAACCAGGCTCACTGTGGCCCTGTGAAAACAGTCCCCAGGCAGCGCTCAGGACCAGCTCTTCAGAACAGAGCAAATGTGCCCATACTGCAGCCTTCGGGTTCCCAGAAACAGCTCCACTTTGCTACCCTGCTACACCCAGTGCTGGGCCTGGACTAGTTTTCTATTAATGTGGAAGACACAGCACCGTTTTCTATGCGGTGCTTACCATGCATCATTTTTAAGTAATGGTACATGACTACTATCTTTGTCTTGCTAAGACAAAAAAATCACATTCACCGTATCATCTCTTTATTTGGAGGTGTTTAATTTTGTTCTTTCCTGCCCTCTGTCTCTTGTCTGAAATTATTTTTCTCCCATTTCTCGTCTTTCTCATTCTATCTTCATTTCTGCTTCTCTTTGTGAGACACTGTTTGTTCTCCCTTCTTCTTTGGTTCTCTTCGTTCACTGCACCTCTTTCCCATCTCACCCTATTCCTCCCCACCCTCCCGCAAACCAATGAATGCTTTCTCAGCTTCATTTTCTGTAGACATCACCCTGCTGTCATAGGTCCTCTGCTTTTTCCCTTGGTCTAACATACTCATTTAAAGTCACTCCTGGTATATGGAGGAGCCAATGACACCATTAACTGACAAATCTCTACTCCATATAATGAAGGATGATAGAAAATTATCCCATCTGGAAGAAACTGCCAGCTATTGCCATACCTAATCACGCATTCCCTTGGCCAGGTGAAAGTCATCTCCCTGACTTTCAATCTGCATCCTTCCTTGATGACTTCCAGCTCTCATCTGTTCCCAATGCTGCCAAAACCAATGTGATATTGTTGGGTTAAAACGCCTTTCCTAGAGCCCCTCTGTTAGCTTGTTGCTTCACAACTTGGATTATACCCCACAAATGCAAATACAAGTAATATGTGCAAAAACATTACAGTTATTCTACAGGTACCATCTGGAGTCAGCTCTGCTTAGCTTTCTGACAAAGATCAAGATACTCCTAAGACATTTCACTGCAGGCCAATCTGCTATGCCTAGAAACCAGGCTGCCTTATTTCACTTGTCACCAATAACTGAGGTTTTGCCAGGAAGCAGAGGTTGCAGTGAGCCGAGATCATGCCATTGCACTCCAGCCTGGGCACAAACAGCAAAACTCCATCTCAAAATAAGCAAATAAATAAATAACTGAGGTTTAGAACTGAGGGCATTGCCAGCATTTTAGAGAGTGAGATGGGGTGGTCTGAAATGCAATTCCTTTTGCTTTCTGGGCTGACTCTCCAGCAAGACTTTAGGGAGCACTTGCTTTTCAGTGTGATTATATTGTCAGTGTCTCCAACTTCAGCTGTCTCTCCCCTGGCCCCCAATTTTCACACAGAAATGCTCACACACACAAACACACATTCATGCATATGCACACACATAAAAAATGTAGGCCCAGGATTCCAAAGATTTTCCAAATGTATTCACGGATAGAAACAAAGCACTGTTTATAATGGGTCTTTAAAAAAAAATTGCCACAATAGAAAATAAAGAAGAGAAGAGAAGGGAGGACTGAAAAGCCCCCATGAGACCAGTCTTCACATGCTTGCTGCTTTAGGGTTCTGAGTTGTTGGCAGCATCGCCGGAAAATGATGAATGATCCAAGATTACGTGTTGTGGCTACCCACGGAATTTGCTCTCTAGAAGTATATCCAATCCTGGCCTGTTTTCTGATGGTAACTTTGGGCAGGACAGTGTTGCAATGGGCCATGCGGGTCCCATTTGAATAATATAAGATCAAAATCGTGTTGTTGCTTTATCTCAACATACAGTCTCTAAGTTGAGGCTAAATGATAGTGGCACAACTCTGCTTTGCACTGAGCTAGGAAAGAATTTTGCATGATTTTCTCAAGGATGATAGAAAAGTGCAAAATATGTCAGGATACAAATACCTCACCTAAGACTGGGTGCACAGGGTTAAGACAGAGTCTATGGAGAAATCAGAAAAATAATTGATTTGGGAAAATCTCAAGCAGGTAGGAGTAAAAATCACAAGCAAAGTTTTTATATAGCTATTGCCAGCTATAGAAATAGGTGAACTATAAATTCTTCTGAATGTAGGTTTCCTAAGACAGCAGAGATAAAAATATTTCTAAAAATCCTTATACAGAGAAAGTCACTCAAATGAATACTTCTTAAGGGAGTCGATGCATTCAGAGGAAGCATTTGCTGACTAAAAGCCACATAATACACAGAGGTTGCATCCTGACAGGATACTTCTTAAGAGAATCCATTTGCGGCTCCAATATTCGGGGTCAGTAATTTCTCAGAGAAAGGTTAATGGAAACAAAACAGAATTCAGCGCACATTTTCTCAACCAGTGTGCAGAAATATAGGCAAAAATACACCCTTAGCATATCCTCAGGCTATAAAATGCAAAATTACTGCAACATTCTTTTTGATAGAGTTTGCAATCAATGCAATGGAGAACAAAGGGAGGTTAGATGGTGTGGGTGTGGGGAAGGTGCACATTTGTGTGTGTGGTTGGGCAGATGAACTCAATGACCTCTGCCACTTCCAGCCTGAATTTGCAATGATTCCATGTTTGAAGGCAAAGAATATGGATGTGAATAAACCAAGTGGTGGCTGGATAGAGCTGGAGAAATGTTCTCAGATAAACCTCCAGCCCCAGAAGCGGCTGTGAGAAATTTACACGTGTGTCACTGACTCACTAGAATTAGAGAAAATTGATCAAGAATGAAGCCATAAAATGTGATGGCTGTGGTCAGACCTTCCTTCTTGTAAAGAGAGGGAAACTCGATCTGGGCAGCAGTATTCTAGAAAGGTTGAGACAGTGGGAGCCTGGTTTGGGTTTCAGGGTCTAGGGCAGCCATGTTCTCTGGAACATCAGAGACAGTGAGGATCCCAACAAAGCATGCAAAGGACTAAGCAAGAAAAGATGACAAGAGAGAGCCTAAATTCACCAAGACAAAGGAGCCGTGGAGGTCTGGAACAGGAGGAAGGAGTGAACATGAGGCTGAAGAGAATCCTACTAGAGGGGGATGGCAAGGTGAGCCCAGTTTAAATGACTCGAAAAATACACCATGTACGTAAGAGACCACACAGATATCCAAGAGTAGCCAGAGGAGGTATCATGTGTCCTTCATCCAAGGGTAGTAGGTGGTTCAGGCTGGTCATGGACGGCTTTCGTCAAGGCTTCACAACCTGCAAAGCTCAGGCTAAGTGTTCTGCATGCAACATGTTATTTAATCTTCACAGCAACCTTCCATCTTTATCAAATCCTCAGTTAGAAAAATAGTATTTATGGAGAATTGATGGGTTCTAAATTGTATCCTTCAATTAAATTAGACAATCAGAAAGCTACACTCCAAGAAAGTGTTTTGGGACGCATAATGCTCACTCTGCCCCCTCCATCTTAAACTCTTCTGACAGAATAGCATTGCGGTGTTACCTATCAGCTGCTGTAGGAAGCAGTCATGTGAAAAGTATCATTGGGTGTAATGTAAGGAAATTACTTATCACCTTACACAATATCTCCTTCATAAGTTCCTAAAGGATATAATTCCTAGTCTTCATACTATATGGTACCTTTCCTAACACCTGGCTTGTTTTTCTGTTATGGACATTGGGTTATGCAACTGGTCCTGTTTCTCTATTTGCATTGACTGCTGGGAAGCTCCAGGCCAGATTTGTACCCCAACTTCATCCCATTCTTTTTTCTCTACTGTTTTAAATTTAAGCATGTTTTACCTTTTTTATCTTATAAAGTTTTGTACATTATTTAAAACACTTTTTGTACAGGCCATGTATAAATACAGAGATAAATACAAATGTACATTATCTAAAAGTGCTATGGCCAAATTTCAAAAACAGTACAGGCAGTAAGAGTTTCATGTACACTTAATTGAAATTAGTGAAATTCTTGTCCCTTGTTAACATTATGTCTTGTTAAAATTTATAAGTAACCCAGTTTTCCTGCTTCACATTTTTATTAAGGAAATTCATTTTCAACTTGCCAGAAACCTGAATTTCTTTATTCCTCTTAAGAGAAGGCAAGCCTTCTGATTTATGTGGAACAACTTCTCCATCTATTGGCACAATTTAATATTGCAAATAATAAATCTCTTGAAATCAAATGTTTTCTTGTTAGTCTATGGAGAAGTTTTTCCCCCATTAAGCCTCTCAAAAAGTTTCCACTGTAATAATTAAATATATCTCCCTTGCATTAATCCCTTTGCCTTCAGGATTTAATAAACTTATAGATATTAAATTCATGCATATCACCAGGAAGTTTCCAGAAGCTTCCTGGATCACCATCTCCACCTCCCAAGGGAAGCCAGGCCAAATTTTCCAAAATAAGATATAAAGTATGAAGCCATATTGTGCAAAGATTTAATCTAAAACAGCTTAGAATATGATAATCATTTTAAATCATGTTTAAGGGCTGAGTGAAGTATTAGAAACACCAACATTTCAATCCTCACTTTGGAATAGCTTACAAGTAACAAAACATATGAGTATACAAAGGGCCAGTCAATTTTATAAGTATGTATTCGACTAATACTGAAAATTGAGACTGAACCAGTCTTGCCATTCCTCACCCAACAACAAATCCCTACCTTCGAGGAACTAATTCTCTTCCTCTGACAAGGTAATCCTACCTTCTCTTAAACAAAACACATCATCCTTGAAATCTTTGAAACCATAAAATGTCTTCAAAATCCCCATGATGTTCCAATTTCTGTATGACTTTACACATCCATAGTAAATTCACTAATATGTACACCTCTTGTGTTATTACCCTGACCTGCACTTAAAACCCAACTCAAGTTACCTTTACCTTCATGACTTCATATGTAAATGAAAATAACAGTAATTCTTTTGTAGGATTGTGGTGAGGATTAAATAAGGTAATATTTTTTAAAATACCTAGCACTTTGTAGACAATAAATGGCAGATTTTTAATAGTAATTGTAGTTGTAAAAAGAAGAAAAGGCTTTGTCATACTTCCCCATAAGTACCTTGAACTCTCAGTCCTTCTCATATGGAATGTCTGGCCTGAAGAAACAATTGAAGAGGACTTGAAAGCAGGGAGGTTCACAAATAGCAAGAAATAATAAGGATCTTGATGAAGACTATGAAGCTTCCAACAGGAAGAGGAAGCAAATTTTAAGAAGCAGGTCCCCTCTTCCTCCTCCAGTCTCCCAGTCTCCCTCTAGTGCCCCCACTGGGGGAGACTTGCAAGGAGCAGCCAGCGAAGCAGAAATGAAGAGCGCTGAGTCCCAGCCACTGCAACACAAGGCAGAGGGTAGAAGGACTGCCTTGGAGCTGAGCAATAACAGCTTTTCACTGAACGGACCAGTAAAAAGTTCCTGGAGTCTGGTTTTGGGTCTTGCAAGGAAGGAAGCTTAGAAGTCACCACTGTCTCCTAAAGAGTAAAAAAGCTAGCAACTCTTCTTAGGTCTGTCAGAGAAATGAAGTCACAGGGCCGACCATTGCCCCAAAAATTGGAGGGACAGGCAGGAAGATACAGAGAATCACATGTCACTAGAGCAGAAACCTGCCAGCTGCAGCCTCCATGGGAAGCAGTGACAGGGCAGGAAACCTGAACTGGAATTGATGAACTGTGGGAGGCTCAGTTTGGGCAAGTCTGAGAGTTAAAAAATTCAGTGGAAACCAGTCAAGGGGTGTCACATATTTTTATGGGTTTTACCTCCAAGAGCCTTGCCAGATCCTCACAGTAAATATGGGAGAAAAATTTCCTCTTGCTTCCTGCAGGAGGAGGGGGAAAGTCACCACTTGAAATAGACCAGAGCATCTGTTCTTAGCAAAGCCTGCCTTCAGAAGAAACTATTATACCACAGCCTGACCTGCTATGGGTCTATCAGCACCTTAATCTACTTGGGGAAAGGAAATGCCAAACTCCAGCCCCCTCTAGTTTTATATGTACATATTATATAATATTATATCTATTATTATATATATAATATATAATATATATAATATAATATATAATATATATATTAGAATATATAAAATATATAATAATATATATATTAGTATTAACTTACATGATCACAAGGTCCCCACAATAGGCTGTCTGCAAGCTTGAGGAGCAGGGAGAGCCAGTCTGAGTCTCAAAACTGAAGAACTTGGAGTCTGATATTTGAGGGCAGGAAGCATACAGTACAGGAGAAAGATGTAGGCCGGGAGGCTAGGCCAGTCTCGCGTTTTCATGTTTTTCTGCCTGCTTTAGATTCACTGGCAGCTGATTAGATTGTGCCTACCAGATTAAAAGTGGATCTGCCTTCCCCAGTGCACTGACTAAAATGTTAATCTCTTTTGTCAACACCCTCACAGACATACCCAGGATCAATACTTTGTATCCTTCAATCCAATCAAGTTGACACTCAGTATTAACCATCATAAGTCCACCCCTTGTCAACTTGAACCCATACACTTCTCCTGAGATCATACATAATCTTCAAATAAAGATAATAATAAGGTTATAATTACACCTAACGTAATACAACTATCCTTCATACAACCAGAAATGCACCAATCCCCAAACCAAATACTATTACATAAAGTTAGCAATATTTAAATGCTGATATGAAGTCAATAAATCTTATGTCACATATAAAGGAAAAGGAAATACAGATATTTTCTTAGTACAAGTGTATACATGCACAAACATGTTTTTAGCAAAAGAAGGAGGAAATACTCATGACAATTACAGTCCCCATTTCTGCAGCTGGTCATGTGGTCGTAACTGGTATTGATGACTACCTTCTTCTACTACTCATTCTGTATTCCCTTTGCCTTCAGCAACCACCTCAGCATCAGCAGGTTGTGGTTTTTTTTCCTGGTGGAGTGACCCAAACCTTAATTCCTGAAGGGTCTGAGCCATTTGTAGTCCTGGCTGGATTGGGCTGATGTAATTTCCCAATGACCTTAATCACAGGGCATAGTAATACTAAGAGACGTCCTAATGGATCTCCTGTATTCCATGCATACTTTCTTACCTCCGTTGTGGAGTAGTAGACTGATTTCATCTTGATGGTCCAGGTCAATCACCCCAGCCAACACTATAACTCCCTTCTTAGCCTGTTGACTTAGGAGGTGCCCCAAGTGTCCAGGTGGCAATCTTAACTTCCAGTTTAATTGAATCGTTGTTGTGTCTCCTGGTGGCAGTGTTCCTCCCTCTTGAACTAAGACTTCTAGGCCTGCAGAACATAATGCCATGGGAACAGGAAGCAAAATTTTTGCTAGTGGATCACTGGGGGTGACAGTGAGTGGTGCCAATTCCACTTCCACTTCCACCCCTTGATTCCTGGACCCATGAAACCTGGCTATGGGAGAAACAATACCATATATTGGACTCCAATTCAGAGCATACATGGCCTTCTGGAGAACTTTGCCCCCACCCTGCAAAGTATTGTCACCTAGTTGGCATTGTAATTGTGACTTCAAAAGGCCATTCCACCATTCTATCAATCCAGCTGCTTCAAGATGATGGAGAACATGGTAAGACCAGTGAATTCCATAAGCATGAGCCCACTGCCACACTTCTTTAGCCTTAAAGTGAGTGCCTTGGTGAGAGACAATGCTGTGTGCAATACCATGATGGTGGATAAGGCATTCCATAAGTCCACAGGTGGTAGTCTTGGCAGAAGCATTGCATGCAGGATAGGCAAACCCATATCTGGAGTAAGTGTCTATTCCACTGAGGACAAACCTCTGCCCTTTCCATGATAGAAGAGGTCTAACATAATCAACCTGCCACCAGGTAGCTGGCTGATCACCCTGAGGAATGGTGTCATATCGAGGGCTCAGTGTTGATCTCCATGGCTGGCAAATTGGGCCCTCAGGAGTGGCTGTAGCCAGGTCAGCCTTAGTGAGTCGAATTCCATGTTGCTGAGCTCATGTGTAACCTCCATCCCTACCACCATGGCCACTTTGCTCATGGGCCCATTGGGCGATGACAGAGGTGACTGGGGAAAGAGGCTGAGTGGTGTCCACAGAATGGGTCATCCTATCCACTTGATTATTAAACTCCTCCTCTGCTGAGGTCACCCGCTGGTGAGCACTCACATGGAATACAAATATCTTCATGGTTTTTGACCACTCAGAGAGGTCCATCCACATACCTCTTCCCCAAATTTCGTTGTCACCAATTTTCCAATCATGCTTCTTCCAAGTCCCTGACCATCCAGACAAACCATTGGCTACAGCCCATGAATCAGTATATAATCGCACATCTGGCCATTTCTCCTTCCATGAAAAGTGCACAACCAAGTGCACTGCTCAAGTTCCACCCACTGGGAGGATTTCCCTTCACTGCTGTCCTTCAGGGATATCTTAGAAAGGGGCTGTAGTGCTGCAGCTGTCCACTTAAAAAGTCATCAGAAATTTTACATAAGAAGAAATCTTAATGACTAATAAGCCTGTAAAAATAATTTTTTGCTTCATAAATACTAAAAAATATTTTGGGACTCTGTTTTTAACAGTTGTATTGGATGACAATTAATGCACAATATGCCGTATACATTGAAACTATAATTGTATGAGTTTCAGCATGTGGCTGGGCGTGATTGCTCACGCCTGTAATCCTAACAGTTTGGGAGGCTGAGTCAGGTGTATCACTTGAGGCCAGGAGTTCGAGACCAGCCTGGCCAACATAGTGAACCCATCTCTACTAAAAATACAAAAATTAAACGGGCTTGGTGGTGTGCACCTGTAATTCCAGCTACTCAGGAGGCTGAGACAGGAGAATCACTTGAACCCAGGAGGCAAAGGTTACAGTAGCTGAGATTGCACCACTGCACTCCAGGCTGGGTGGCAGAGTGAGACTCTGTCTCAAAAAAAAAAAAAAAGTGCACATACCCGTGAAAGCGTCATCACAACAAAGGTAATGAGGTAATGGGAGTATCCATCACCCTAAAAGTTTCCTCATGTGCCCTTGTAATCTATCCTTCTGTCACACTCTTGTCCCCCAATTACCAAGACAGCCACTGATCTGTTAACTACAGCTTTGTTTGCATTTCCCAGAATTCTGTATAAATGATATCATACAGTAGGTATTCATTTTTAGTCTAACTTTTTTCACTCTGCATAATTATTTTGAAATCCATCCATGTTGTTGCATGTATGAATAGTTCATTCCTTTTCATTGCCAAGTACTATTCCATTGCATGGCCATATCACAATTCTCAATCCATTCATCTATTAATGGGCACTTGGGTTTTTTACAGCTTTTGGATATTACAAATAAAGCTGCTATGAACATTCATGTACAAGCTTTTTATGCACATATGCTTTCATTTCTGTTAGGTAAATACCTAGAAGTGGAATGGCTGGGTTGTATGGCTGTATATTTAAGAGGTGCCAGTTTTCCCAAGTGCTGTACCTTTATGCATTCCCACCAGGGGTGTATCATAAACCACTTCTACCTCATGCTCACCAAAACATGGTATGGTTAGTTTGTTAAATATCAGCCATTCTAGTGACTGTGTTGTGATACTCAGAATTTTAATTTGCATTTTCCCAATGATTAATAATGTTGTCATGTGATTATTTGTCTCATATATTTTCTTATGTAATTATTTGTCATCTGTCTATCTTCTTTAGTGAAAAGTGTATTCAAATCTGCCCATTTTTTAATTGAGTCATTTGTCTCATTATTGAGTTGAAAGAGTTCTTAATCTATTCTAGATACAAGTCCCTTGTCAGATATAAGTTTTGCAAATATTTTCTCATAATCTGTGGCTTGCCATTTTATTTTTATAACTGAGTAAAAGTTTTACTTTTGATGAAATTCAATTTATCAATTTTTTTCTTTTATGATTTATGCTTTTAGTTGAATCTAAGAATTATATACCCAACATATTTTCTCCCATGTCTTCTTCTAGATGTCTTGTAGTTTTTTATTTTAGACTTAGGGATATGATCTATTTTGAGTTAATATTTTACTGTGTTGCGAGGTATGGGTCAAAGCTGATTTTCTTATATATGGATATCTAGTCGTTCCTTTTTTTCCACTGAATTCCAATTGTACCTTTGATGAAAATCAATTGACTATTTATATACATGTCTATTTCCATGCTGTCTGTTCTCTTGCATTGATCTACGTGTCTTTTCTTTTGCCAATACCACACTGTCTTAATATAGTTTTACAGTAAGTGTATTAGTCTGTTCTCACGCTGCTAATAAAGACATACCTGAGACTGGGTAATTTATAAAGGAAAGATGTTTAATTCACTCACAGTTCCACATGGCTGGGGAAGCCTCACAATGGTGGAAGGTGAAGGAGGAGTAAAGGCACATCTCACATGGCGACAAGCAAGAAAGCGTTTGCAGGAAACTCCCCTTTATAAAACCGTCAGATCTCATGAGACTTACCATCACGAGAACTGCATGGGAAAGACCCACCCTATGACTCAATTATCTCCCACCAGGTCCCTCCCACAACACATGGGAATTATATGAGCTACAATTCAAGATGAGATTTGGGTGGGGACAGAACCAAACCATATCAGTAAGTTTTGATATCAGGCAGAATGAATGCTTCAGCTTGGTTCTTTTTCAAAATTGTTATAGCTATTCTATTTCATTTGCCTTTCCATATAAATTTTAGAACCAGTTGTCAGTTTCTACAAAAAATTTTCCTAGGATTTTGATTGAAATTGCATTGATTCTACAGTTCAAATTGGAAAGAATTGACAATGTTGAGACTTCAAATTCATAACACTCTCCCTCAATAAATAAATAAACATCTCCATTATTTATCTCTTTTTTGATTTCTTTCATTACTGTTTTACAGTTTTCAGCATATAAATACCACACTTTTTGAGATTTACCTTAAGTATTGTGTAATTTTGTAAATCATACTGGTCTTTAATTTCAATTTCCAATTGTTCATTGAATATATAAAAATGCAATTTTATATATTGAGATGGAGTCTTGCTCTGTTGCCTAGGCTGGAGTGCGGTCATGCGATCTTGGATCACTGCAACCTCTGCCTCTTGAGTTCAAGCAATACTCCTGCCTCAGCCTCCCTAGTAGCTGGGATTACAGGCACGTGCCACCACCCCCAGCTAATTTTTGTATTTTTAGTAGAGACAGGGTTTTGCCATGTTGGCCAGGCTGGTCTCTAACTCCTGGCCTCAAGTGATCTGCCAGCCTTGGCCTCTAAAAGTGCTGGGATTACAGGCAAGAGCCACTGCACCCAGCCCAATTTAATTTTATACGTGAACTTTGCATCCTGCAACCCTGCTTAATTTAGTTGTTAGTTCCACTAACCTTTTTGTAAATTCTTAGAGATTTTTTGCATTATTGTTTATGTCATGTGCAAAGAGAATACAGTTTTATTTATTTCTTTCCAATTTTTGTCCTTTTTCCTGGCTTATTTTACTGTGTTGGACCTAGAAGAAAGTTGAATAGGAGTGATGACAGTGGATATCCTTGCCTAGTTTCAGTCTTTCATCATTAAGTTTGTTATTAGCCATAAGTTTATTGTAGAAGCCCTTTTTCAGACTGAGGATGTTTCCTGCTGTTCCTAGTTTGCTAAAGCTTTTTATTAGAATGGATGTTGAGTTTTGTCAGATTCTTTTTCTGCATTTATTGAAGTAATTAGTTTTTCTTTTTTTTTTTTTTTTTTTTTTTTTTTAGAGAGAGTCTCACTCTGCCACCCAGGTGGAGTGTGGTGGTACGATCAGGGCTCAATGCAGCCTTGACCTCTGGGGCTCAAGCAATCCTCCCACCTCAGCCTCCCAAGTAGTTGGGGCTACAGGCACACACCACCACACCTGACTAATTTGTGGTTTGTTGTAGAGATACATATTGCCCAGGCTGGTCTCAAACTCTTGGGCTCAAGCAATCTGCCCTCCCTAGCCTCCCAAAGTGTTGGAATTACAGGTGTGAGCCACCGTGCCTAGCCTATAGTTTGTCTTTGTTAGTCTGTTGATATAGTGAAATGCTGGTTGATTTTTCAATTGTTGAGTTGGCCTTGCTTTCCTGAGATAAACCTCTTTGTTCATTATATACTGTCCTATATTGATAGATTAAATTGGCTAATATTTTGTCCAGGACTTAACTGTTCTGGATATTTCATAAATGGAATCACAAAATATATAGTCCTTTGTGACTGGCTTGTTTCACTTAACATGATGTTTTCAAGGTGCATTCATGGTATAGCATGTAGCAGTACTTTATTCCTTTTTATTGCCAAAAAATATTCATTATATGGATATGCCACATTTATCCATTCATCTGTTAGTGGGAATTTGAGTTGTTTATACTTTTTGGCCATTATAAATAATGCTGGTATTAACATTCATGTACAAATGTTTGTATGTGCACGTTTTCATTTGTCTGATTTCAACTATAATTTCAATTATGGCTACATCAAGCATATTTGAGTCTTATAATTTTATTTACAAATTCGTATTCAAAAAATATAAATATTTAATGAGTATCAATTATCGATTTATCCCATCAAGTTAACAAAAAACCAATAATAATATCCAGAGTTGTGAAGGATTCTGAAAGACAGCTACTCTGTCCCAGCTGGTGAAAATTTAAACTGATAAAAGTTTTCTGGAGGGCAATTTGAGTAGCTAAAAACCAGGGGCTATCAGTGGTTAAATAAAGACAATGCAATAATACTAAAATCATGTTTTTAATTAACTTTCGGTGACCTGAGAAAAGTTTTTGATGTTATATTTTGAAAATGCAACATATGAAACTACCAACTGTGTGTTCCCCACTTACCGAGTTAGGACAGAGACTGATAGAACTAAATTTATACAGTGATACATCACCCGTGGGTGGTAGGACTATGGGTAGTTTTCAGTGGTGGATATGTATGTGTGCACGTGTGTATTTTCAAAGTTTTTGCAGTGAACATGTTTTACTTTAAAATGATAATGAATGTGATGTATAGAACTGTTCTTAATTTCACCTCTTTAAAAATCACTTTTATATTTTACAACACAACAACAAATATTTCCTTCAGGAATGCCTCATTTTGCTTCTCCAAAAGTTGCAAAACATCTTAGATAATGAGCAGTTTATTTGCAGTAATAATGTATTGGCTGTACTTGGGGAACTAGCTCACTGAACTTTTCCCTGTGGCAATACAAAAATGTCATACACAGAGGCATTATGGTGTTTATGCTAACTATGGCATTTTACACACCAGGGCTCATTATTATTCCCATTAATTTTGTGATTGTTAATAGCACTGCTATTAATATGATGACTTAACCTTTACAGATTTCAATCAAACATTTCTAAACTCAATAGAGAATGTGTCTAGAATGTAAGGAGATGTGTCTCTGAGTGGTGTTCCCCAGCAGGGAGCATATTTTCATATTCAATATATTTTAACTACTGTGATGCCTAGCTAATATTTTATTTATATTAGAGTAATATAAATAATTATTTATATTAGAGTAATATAAATAATTATTTATATTAGAGTAATATAAATAATTATTTATATTAGAGTAATATAAATAATTATTTATATTAGAGTAATATAAATAATTATTTATATTAGAGTAATATAAATAATTATTTATATTAGAGTAATATAAATAATTATTTATATTATATTATAATATAATATATATAATTATATTATAACATAATATAATATAAATAATTATTTATATTATAACATAATATAAATAATTATATAAATGATAATTATATATAAATGATTATTATATATAATAATTATTTAATAATTATTATTTAATAAGTAATATGAATAATTATATATATTATTCTAATGTAAATAATTATTTATATTATTATATACCCCATGATCCAGCAATACCACTACTATATATCTAAAGGAAATGAAATCAGGATCTCAAAGAGATGTCTACACCCGTTCATTCATTGCAACATTATTCACAATAGCCAAGATAAAGAATCAACTTAATCAATTCTTTAGAATTCTAATATAAATAAAAATTAGAAAAGTAAATGTTTTCTAAAAAGAATATCGGATTCAGGAAACTAGAGATAAGAAACAATTACTTCATTAGTAAAGGTATAAAAATTTGAAATGACAAACCAACTTTTGTAAAAAATATTTATGAATGTCAAAAGTACATATTAAATGGAAACAACCTATGGGGGTATTTTCTACATGTTGATTTTTGTAGTTAATCTTAAAATAAGCAAAGAATAAGAAGTTTTTAACAAGGAGCCTCATTTTATACCAAAAGTTGTTCTAGGCTTAAATCTGAGTGAAACAAACTATAAAATTCAAAAAGATAAAAATACAGAAGTTTCTCTACTTCAATTGTTGGGAACAGAGCAAGGCTCCCCCGAAAGTATATCACTGTTGCTAACAGATGGTTTAAGCTACCTTGCACCATCATTTATCCTTGGTCATAGAGTTGTTCATTAGTCTGTGTCAGCTGTATTTCTGTATAGTTGTGAAGTGTTTTACAAGCATTATTAATGCCATTATATATGATAAGCATAAAAGCAGTGAGCGCTATTATAATTTCCATCATTTTCTATTCTGTGGAACTGTTTACAAGGCATGATAAATAACTGTTGTTTAAAGGAAACATCTAATGGCAAAAATCTAACTGCTTAACAAAACATTCTGTTGCTAAGGACGTAGTGAAACAGGCACTCCCACACTTAGTGATGGGCATGCATGATTATACCACCACATCATGGAGAAAAGAAAACCTTTGTACACTGTTGGTGGAAATATAAATCTGCATAGCCATTGTAGAAAATGGTATGACGGTTTCTCAAAAAACTAAAAATAGAACTACCCCATGATCCAGCAATCCCACTACTATATATCCGAAGGAAATGAAATCAGGATCTCAAAGAGATATCTACACCCTTTCATTCATTGCAACATTATTCACAATAGCCAAGATAAAGAATCAACTTAAGTGCTCATCGGTGGAAAAATGGATAAAGAAAATGTGGTGTATATACACCATGGAATACTATTCAGTCTTAAAAAAAAGAAGAAAATGCCGTCACTTGGAACAACATGGATAAACCTTGAGGATATTACATTAAGTGAAATAAGCCAGGCACAGAAAGATAAATGCTGCATGATCTCAGTTATATGTGGAATCCAAAAAAGTTGAACTAATGGAAAGAGAGTATAATGATGGTTACCAGGGGGCTGGGAAGATATTGGTCAAAGGATGCCAAATTTCAGTTAGAAAGAATAAGTTCAAGAGACCTATTACACATCATGGTGACTACAGGTAATAACAATGTATTATACATCTGAAAATTTCTAAGAGAGTGACATTAAACATTCTTACCACAAAAAAAGTATGTGTAGTAATGCCTAAATAGCTTGATTTAGCCATTCCACAATGTATACATATATGAAAACATCATTTGTACACCATAAATTTACACAATTTTTACTTGTCACTTGAAAAATAATAATGCTACCATACCCCTGGAGAACATATCCATGGAGATTATTAAATTGCTGCCTCTCAGTTCCAAATCTATCCTTTTATACTCTGCTTTTGATGCAAGGACCAGGACTCTCAAACTATCTTTCTGCTTTGTCACATGGCTCTGAATTAGGCTCCTTCAATAGAAGCACCAGGAGCCTGAGAGACTAGAGGAAGACAAAGGGACTTGCTCCTCCCGCTCTGTTTCCTTTGGACTTCATGTCTGCTTGCAATTTCCATGAGTGAGTCCTGCAATGCTTTTCACCCTGACAGCAGCAATATCTGCCCACAGCAGATATTCAAAGCAATATCCAGTTTTTAGTTTTTCTTGCACTTGTAAACCCCTATCCACCACAGAGACATTAGTATCAGCTGGCCACCCTTCTTTTTCAAGGTCTGGGTCCCCAGTGCACAGGGCTTCCCATGTCAATCTCAGCTGTGAACAGAATAGAGAACCCAGAAATAAAGCCAAATACTTACAGCCAACTGATCTTCAATAAAGCAAACAAAAACATACAGTGGGGAAAGGACACCCAACTCAACAAATGGTGCTGGGATAATTGGCAAGCCACATGTAGAAGAATGAAACTGGATCCTCATCTCTCACCTTATACAAAAATCAATTCAAGATGGATCAAAGACTTAAATTTAAGTCCTGAAACCATAAAAATTCTAGAAGATAACGTCAGACAAACCCTTCTAGACATTGGCTTAGGCAAAGACTTCATGAACAAGAGCCCAAAAGCAAATGTGACAAAAACAAAAATAAATAGGCTGGGCATGGTGGCTCATGCCTGTAATCCTAGCACTTTGGGAAGCTGAGGCAAGCAGATCACTTGAGGTCAGGAGTTCGAGACCAGCCTGACCAACATGGTGAAACCCTGTCTTTTAGTAGAGAATACAAAAAATTAGCCAGGCATGGTGGCACACATCTGTAATCTCAGCTACTTGAGAGGCTGAGGCAGGAGAATCGCTTGAACCCAGGAGGCAGAGGTTGCAGTGAGACAAGATCGCACCACTGCACTCCAGCCTGGGGGATAGAGAGAGACTCCATCTCAAAAAATAAAATAAAATAAATAGATAGGACTTAATTAAACTAAAAAATCTCTGCACAGCAAAAGAAATAATCAACAGATTAATAGACAACCCACAGAGTGGGAGAAAATCTTCACAATCTATACGTCTGACAGAGGACTAATATCCAGAATCTACAAAGAACTCAAACAAATCAACGAGAAAAAAAAATCCCATTTAAAAAGCAGGCAAAAGGCATGAATAGACAATTCTCAAAAGAAAATATACAAATGGCCAACAAACATATAGAAAAATGCTCAACATCACTAATGATCAGAGAAATGCAAATCAAAATCACAATGTGATACCACCTCGCTCCTGCAAAAATGGACGTAATCAAAAATCGAAAAATAATAGATGTTGGCATGGATGTGGTGAAAAGGGAATACTTTTACACTGTTGGTGGGAATGTAAACTAGTACAACCACTATGGTAAACAGTGTGGAAATTCTTTAAAGAACTAAAAGTAGATCTACCATTTGATCCAGCAGTGCTACTACTAGGTATCTACCCAGAGGAAAATAAGTCATTGGTAGGGTGCAGTGGCTCACACCTGTAATCCCAGCACTTTGGGAGGCTGAGGCAGGCGGATCACTTGAGGTCAGGAGTTCAAAACCAGCCTGGCCAACGTGGTGAAACCCTGTCTCTGTCTCTAATAAAAATACAAAAATTAGCCGGGCATGGTGGTGCGTGCCTGTAATCCCAGCTACTCAGGAGGCTGAGGCAGGAGAATCTCTTCAATCCAGGAGCCAGAGGTTGCAGTGAGCCAAGATCGTGCTGCTGCTCTCCAGCCTGGGTGACAAGAGCGAAATTTTGTCTCAAAAAATAAAAAGAAGTCATTATACAAAAAAGATATTTGCACATGCATGTTTATAGCAGCACAATTTGCAATTGCAAGAATATGGAATCAGCCCAAATGCCCAT
The DNA here is from genome assembly GCF_000001405.40 of Homo sapiens. NCBI lineage: Eukaryota > Metazoa > Chordata > Mammalia > Primates > Hominidae > Homo > Homo sapiens. Next base: position 32,364,273 of record NC_000009.12, read on the forward strand.
CAATCAGCAAGTGGATAAAGAAAATGTGATATATAGATATAGATATAGATATAGATATAGATATAGATATAGATATAGATATAGATATATACCATGGAATACTACCCAGCCATAAAAAGGAATGAAATAATGGCATTTGCAGTAAGCTGGATAGAATTGGAGGCTCTTATTCTAAGTGAAGTAACTCAGGAATGGAAAACCCAACATTTTATGTTCCCACTCATAATTGAAAGCTAAGCTATAAGGATGCAAAGGCATAAGAATGATATAATGGACTTTGGGGACTCAGGGGAAAGCCTGGGGAGGATGAGGGATAAAAAAACTACATATTGGGTGTAGTGTACACTGGTTGGGTGATAGGTGCACCAAAATCTCATAAATCACCACTAAAGAACTTATTCATGTAACCAAACACCACCTGTTCCCCAAAAACCTATTGAAATTAAAAATAAATTAATTAATACATTCTATTGGTTCTAATAACCAGAACAGTTTCTGTTTCTGAATTTGACCCTAACTGACACAGAAAAGAATTTGGCAATATCTAGCAATATTGATATGACTTTACCCTTAGACTCATCAGTACCATTTCTAAAACTTTATGCAAAAAAATGCTCTAAGATTTTCTTCGAAGCATTATTTATAATAGCAAAAGTTGGAAACAAAATGTCTATCAATGGTAAATGCACATAATAGAGAACATAGAAATGGTTCTCTATACTTCTATGGAGTGATCTCCATGATATGTGATTAGGCAAAAAAAGGGAGAGAGAATATGTGTAGTATGCTGCTGTTTGTCTATGAAAGGGAAGAATATGAGTATATTCACATATTTGCTTTTGTTTACTTAAATGGAAGGATTAAAAAAAAGACACCCATTATAGGTAGGAAAGAACAGGTTGAAGAAGATTGGGATAGAAGCCATGCTTCTCTGAATGTACCTTGTTTAATAGATTTGACTTTGAAACCATAAAAATAATTTATATAATCATAAATAAAATTAACTTTTTAAAAGTGGAAACCCTAATAAGTTACAGGTATAACAAAACAAATTAATCTAACTAAATATTGAGTTAGTGGCATAACCATACAGACAGAAACTATTTCTAGTACTTTAAAAAACAGCTGGACAGGCACAGTGGCTCACGCCTGTAATCCCAACACTTTGGGAGGCCAAGGTGGGTGGATCACTTGAGGCCAGGAATTCAAGACCAGCCTGGCCAACATGGCAAAACCTTGTCTCTACTAAAAATACAAAAATTAGCCAGGCATGGTAGCGCATGCCTGGAATACCAGCTGGTTAGGAGGCTGAGGCAGGAGAGTTGCTTGAACCTGGGAGGCGGAGGCTTCAGTGAGCTGAGATTGCCACTGTACTCCAGGCTGAGCAATAGAGCAAGACTCTGTCTCAAAAAAAAAATGGAAGATAAAACAGTTATGGCTGTACATTCTTAGAAGGATATACCCTAAGTACAACAAGAAGTACAAAAAATATATACAGAGCATTTTTTAAATAATTATATTGTTGGTCATATATGGTCATATATGGAAAAATGTTCAACATCACTAACGATCAGAGAAATGCAAATCAAAATCATAACGTGATACCACCATGTGATTTGTTTTATTGTACTTGTAACTTATTAGGGATTCCACCATTATTGATGGTAATTCTATTCTTAGACTGTTGTGCACATAATATGGTACAAAGTAGTGATTATTTATGTCAAGACCATTGTGGAGCAGGATTTTCAAAATAGGAGAAAGGAGGTATAGCAATAAGAAGTTGAAATTAAATAAATCCTAAATTTGAATCAGGTGTGTTGGTATGAAATCATGATATATTTTATAAACAAAGAAATCCACAAGCAAAAGCAATTCACTGAAAAGGCATTATTTCTTTACAGATGAACACAATAGCACTGAGCACCCCTAGTGCCCGGATCACAGTCTCTAAATACCATTTATCACTAAAAAGAATGAGGGATTCTTTGAGAAATGGCAGGTCCTAGGTCTAAAGCAGAAAATGTATTAATACAAAACGAGTGAGGAAGCTCTTGCTATACCAATAAGGTAGAAAGTTATCAAGGACAACTGGGTTATGCCAGAAGAACTCAGGAGCCAACTTGAAGAGAGTCCCACTGACCAAAGATAGACTAATTTAAGCATAAATAAATAAAATGCAAGAATTTTAAACAAAGAAAATGTCTAAATCTATGAGTTTATAATGATATTAAGAAAAAACAAATAATTGGTCTTTTTGGAGAATGATAGAGACCCAAATTATTTTGAAAACTAGTAATAAATAAATAAATAAATAAGGAATAGGGGGGAGAATCAAGCATTTATCTTGCTTTTTCTGTGGGAGTTAAACCTAAGGGCAACCACGTAGTTAATGAAGAAAAGCTTTTCAATTACAGAAGAAATAAATGAGAAATTACAAAATTAGAATATCTTCCAATGTGACCCTAATGATTAATGAGTCTAGGCAATGCTCGCCAATGTTTGTTCAGATCACAAAAAAAGACAATGAGATATTATGTGTCTCCTGATGTAAGTATACAACATTATCTGTAAAGCATTCTTGTGAAAAATATTGAACCTGAATCTAATCAAGTCTCAAGATACATGCACTGATTTACAGGGGACAGAAGAACATATTAAATAACATTATAAAGACACACTTAGCCAAATACAAATGGTAGAACACTATACTACAAACATTTATTTCCTTAAAAAATATTTATTCAACAAGAAAAAGAGAACGTAAACCTATAAATTAACAGAGAAAAGGTTATAGAACTTTTTCAATACTGACTTAAACAAAAAAAATCTTAAAATTTATAAAATAACTGGGGAAATTTGAACGCATATAGGGTATTTGGTGATATTTTAGAATTTTTTTTAACTTTGTTAATGTGACAATGTTGTGGGTATGTTTTTAAAACAAAATACAGGCCAGGCACGGTGGCTCATGCCTATAATCCCAGTGCTTCAGGAGGCTGAGGCAGGAGGGTCACTTAAGGCCAGGAGTTTGAGAGCAGCCTAGACAAAATGGCAAGACCCCATCTCTACAAAAACATTAGCTGGACATGGTGGCATGCACCTGTAGTCCTAGCCACTCCAGAGGCTAAGATAGGAGGATCACTTGAGTCTAGGAGTTCAAGATTACAACAAACCATGACTGCGCCACTGAGAAGTCCAGCCTGGGTGACACAGCAAGACCCTGTCTTTAAAATAAATAAGTGAATAAATAAATAATAAAAATACAAGCATTATGGCTGTAACAAATTTTTTAATTTTAAAAAATAAAACAAAATATTGTCATCACTAAGTATCTGTGGGAGATTAATTCCAGGAACACTCCTTGGATACCAAAATTTATGAATGCTTAAGTCTCTAATGCAAAAATGAGACATGTAAAAATGTACAGTATTTTCATATAACCTACATACATCCTCCCACATACCTTAAATCATCTCTAGATTGCTTATACCTAATATAATGTAAATGCTATATAAATCGTTGTTATGCTGTATTATTTGGTAATAATGACAAGAAAAGTAATCTGTCATGTTCAGTACAGACAAAACCACTCATTTTTTTCTGACTATTTCCAATGCATGATTGGTTGAACCCACAAATGCAAAATCCATGGATAAGAACCCATGAATACAGAGGGCCAGGGCCTACTGTTTAGTGTACATTATCTTTGCCAGTTCTGGCTCTCATAACAAATTACCATAGACTGGGTGGCTTAAACAACAAACATTTATTTCTGACATTACTGGAGACTGAAAGTCCAAGATCACAATGCCATCCTGGTTGGGTTCTGCAAAGGGTCATCTTCTGGGTTGCAGATAGCCAGCCTTTCCTTGTATCCTCACACATCAGAAAGAGGGCAAGCTCACCCTCTGGCCTCATCTTAAAAGCACTAAGCCCATTCGTGAGTGCTCCACCCTTATGACCTAATTACCTCCAAAAGGCCCCACTTCCAAATTCCATCACATTGGGGGTTAGACTTCAACATATAAATTTTTTGTGGATACAAATATTCAGTCAAGGTCGGGCATGATGGTTCACACCTATAATCCCAGCACTTTGGGAGGCTGAGGCGGGTGGATCACCTGAGGTCAGGAGTTCGAGACCAGCCTGGCCAACATGGTGAAACTCCATCTCTACTAAAAATACAAAAATTAGCTGGGTGTGGTGGCAGGTGCTATGCAGGAGGCTGAGGCAGAAGAATCACTTGAACCCAGGAAGTGGAGGTTGCGGTGAGCTGAGATTGCACCACTGCACTCCAGCCTGGGCAACAGAATAAGATGCCATCTCAAAAAAATAAAAAGCAAGGAAGTCAGATATTTCATTATCAGATGTGGGGAAAGAACTGTGTGAGAGTATAGATGAAACAATACTGTCCAAGAGTTTATAATTGTGGAATCTGAGTCATGGGACTTTATTATATGATTATTATTTTTATAAGTTTGACATTTTCCAATAGTAAGTCAGTTTAAAAGTCTCAATCATCTGGGTTAAAAACATTTTTGGATGTAACTCTTTGATAATTCTTCCTATTTCTTGCATGATTTTTGTACTAGCCAGGTTTTCCATTTCTTTTACAGTCATCTTTTGGTAATTTATATGTAATCCTGTGAAGGAAAGAAATGCATTCAGATGAATTTTTCTTAGAGACAGAATGAAATCAATAGGCCTGCTCTGTATAGAATGTAAGACTGTAAGCAAGCCTGACTGCAGAAAGAACAATCATGCCTGACAAAACAAACAAACAAACAAACAAACAAACAAACAAAAAACAGGAATTTCTTTGTTACACCTGAAAGAAAGTAAGGAGGGAGAAAGAGAGTAGAAATGAGAAAGAAAAAGATGGTAGACAGCTATGTAGTATGAGATTAGACCCTTTCCCATTACTCTTGTAATGAAGAGAAATAGTCTATACAAAATAAAAGGCTTTACAATAATAACTGACATCTAATGAGCACTTACTATGTGCCAGTTACTCTTCTGAACATAGTATGCATATTGGCCTATTTAATCTCCATTACGACTCTATGAGGTAAAAATTATTATTACCACTGTTTTCTAGGTGAGGAAATTAAGGTACAGAGATGTCAAATATTTTTTACATGTGACACAACTACTACACAACTACAAATCCTAGATTCAAACCCAGGATTTAAAGACAACATGGCTCTAGGGCCTGTATTTTTTAGCCACTATATTCTAGTACAGGAGTCAGAAACTACTGCCCATAGGTCAAATACAGCCAGTAACCTGTTTTATAAATCATGAGAGCTAAAAGAGGTTTTTATATTTTTAATGGTTGTAAAAATAAGAAGACGAAAAGGAAGGAAGAGGAGGAGGAGGAGGAGAAGGAGAAGGGAGGAGGAAGAGAAGCTGTAATGCCAACAAAGACTAAAATATTTGTTATCTGCTCCATTACAGAAAAAGTTTTCCAGCCCCTGCTCTAGTGCCTTACTGTGATATGATATGATATAGCTCGGATGTTGTGCCCTCTAAATCTCATGTGCAACTGTAATCCCCACTGTCCTAGGGCCGGGTAGGAGGTGATTAGAACATGAGTATGGTTTACTCATGAATGGCTTAGAGCCATCTGCTCGATGCTGTCCTCATGATACTGAGTGAGTTCTTGTGAGATCCGGCTGTTTAAAAGTGTGTGGCATCTCCCCCTTCTCTCTCTTGCTCCCATTCTTGCCATGTGACATACCTGCCCCTGCTTAGCCTCCTGCCGTGAGTAAAAGCTCCCTGAGGCTTCCTTCAGAAGCCAAGAAGATGCCGTCGCCATTCTTACTGTACAGCCTGCAGAACCGTGAGCCAACTAAATTAAACCTCTTTTCTTTATAAATTACCCAATCTCAGATTTTCCTTTATAGCAATGCAAGAATGGCCTAATACAAGTGGTTTCCATGTAGAACCAGGAAAGGAGACAAATTGACCCATGTCGGATATTGCTGGGACAATAATGACAGCCTACAGGGATGCAGGAATGCGGTTGCTCAGAAAAATATGAAGAGGACACAAAATCCCTAAGCATGAGGAGGACTTTAGACTGTAACAAAGAACAGAAGTCAGCACCTGAAACAAAATCAACTGAATCTCTGAGGAGTAGAATCTACCGTGGATATAAGTTTTATATATATATTTGTGGAAATGGTCTGTCTCCTTGTAAGTCTCAAAATTATTTGCATGGAGTATTTCACAGTATTACATTAAGTTTTCTAACAGTCATATTTGTAGTTATATACCTCAATAAATGTTCACATATTTAAACCCATTTTTATTTAACTTGTCAGAGATTTGTATATTTCAATGTTTTTTCCAAAGATATTGTTCTCAGAATTAGTGTCAATTCTATATATTTTCTACTTCATTGATATTTTGTGATACTAATTTATATTTCCCTTAGTTTTTTTCTAACTTCATTAGTTTCTCTTTTTTTAAATAGCTACAGAACTTAAGGCTATACATTTGCCACTATATACAGCTTTGGTTGCCTACAAAATATTTCAGGTGGAGAATTGTAATGCTTATTTGTATTATTAATGAAGTTACATATTCTATTCACAATATAGGTCTTGAAAAACATGGAGAATACAGATACTATACAACAAAGAAAACTCTAGTCAATGATTTTAAAACATAATATATAACAAATAAAATATATGACTATAAATGTGCTTCAGTCAGGGTATGGAAGGCATATATAAAACTAGCAAAATTGGCAATGAGTTGATAATTGTTGAAAATGAGTAATATTTAAACTATTATAGACATCATTATTATATTCTCATTATAGTTCATTATTATAGTCTCATAGTTCATTAAAATATTCTCTTTTGTAAATGGTTATTATTAATAATAATAAAAATTTTTAATTCACTAAATAGTAAAGTTCTAAATTTCCAGGTTGGTAAAATTTGGTGCAGATACATGACAAGCTGATTTTTTCCTCAATGTAATAACAAAACTACATGGCCAAATTTGTGCCTTGTGATTTCAACCAAACACCATAGCCAAAACCAAAACACAGATACCTGTCAGAGTTTGGGATTTTACTCTACTTGTAATCTAATAAGAGCCTGTACTATTTTATGGATATTGGCAGAAGACACAAGACTCCTGGGTCATATGAGTCCCATCATTACTCATGACACAGCAAGTAGCATAAGTATCATGTTGCATCTGGTCTCCTTGTTCAAAGTCCCACCAGGATGATGCAGAGGGACCCAGAAGGATGCAACACATACAATGGATTTATGTTGCAGCCAGGGAACACTGAGCTTGGAGATTCACTGTTTTCACAGTAAGGGGTAAGAAAGCCTGCTCTTTAAGCCCACACACATCCATGATCCACAATTATGTCATGATCCAGACTCAACAATTATAAAGTTTTGGACAATATTGTTTCATCTATATACTCATTCACTTCTTGCCCCCTCTCAAATGCAATAATTTTCAAGAAAATACCTGACTTTATAAAATTTAAACCCTCATGGTTGCTCACTAAAACACAACCCTGAGAAATGGCCTGGGTAAAGAGCAGTCAGGGCCTTGAATTCTTGGCACACCCAGCAAAAATGCGCACAGATACTCAGGACCTGTGAGAGATTGCCTTTATCTTCAATCCTCCCTCTGTCCCTATGTGTACTGGCTTCTCATAAACTTTCACATAAGTATGTCACTCTGTTGATCACTCGGATTAATTTGACCATCAGGGCTAGAACTAAACCTGTTCAATTGGTCTCATATAGCATTTAATTAAGGTTACCATCAAAGGGACTCCAAACAACAGGATAAAATTAACCTGCAGTATTGGCCTCAATCATTCCTTCCAGGGCTCTGCCCTCAGACAACTGTCCCAGGGGAGAACAGGAGACTTTATTTCAGACAGTCAGGATGTAATCTGGCCTATGGCCAGTCTATTATCCATTGCAACCAATACAAGGGAATTTACACTGACCTCCTGATCTTTGGTGTCATTGCCAATAATTACAAGGGGCATTAAACAGAACAAAAATCCAACACCATCCTCAGTAGAGAGACATTCTATGGCCCATTCTCAGCCACATACAACTGTATAACCCAAACAGGCACAGGTAACTCCTATTAGGATTTGTCTTAAAATGTTATTTGGATCAGCATTACATCGGTTTGGCTTGGTTAAGTCACATGGGCAGTATCACTGAGCAGTTGTAGCCTCCTTTACTATATACACAGCATAACCCAAGACCTCTCAGCATCAAAGAAGCATGTGAATTTGTAACAGAATGAAACAATGTTGTACTGGTCTATGTGTTTATATATGTGTAAAAGGGGCCCATGCTGAGAGCTGCTATTCATGACATCAGGCACAGCAAAATAATTCAAGAGAAGCCATGTCTACAGATTGTCAGCTGCACCTGCTGTTTAACACAGACACCAGTGTTGGATCTAGGAGACAAAGATATTATTAAGTGCCCCCACCCCTGTACCTCCTGAGTCAAGGATGTTCCTGCCCCAGGTGCCACGGTTGTTACTCTTCTTCTGTGCCATGAAATCAGGTCCCATTCAAGTAATTGTAACTTCACCTTTTTTCAATCATCTACTTACATACAAACCTTTTCTCTGGAAAGTTTAGGAGCAAAAAGGACGTGGAAGGCAGAATAATGAGCCTTCAAAGATGGCAAAGATGCCATACTTAACATGGCAAAAGGGACAACACATGTGATTAAATTAAGAATCTTGAGAAGGAAAGAGATCCTGGATTATTGGAATAACCCAATGTAATAATAAAGGTTCTTATAAGAGAGAGGCAAGAGGATCAGAGTCAGAAAAGGAGAAGTGGCAACAGAGCAGAGGCGGAGATGTGAAGATGCCATGTTCATTGCTTTGCAGATGGAGGAAGGGGCCACAGCCAAGGAATGCATGTGGTGTCTAGAAGCTAGAAAAGGCAAATAAATTCTCCTCTAGAGACTCTAGAAGGAATGCAGCCTTACCAACACCTTGATGTTAGCCCAATGGAACCCATTTCAGATTTCTGACCTCCAGAAGTGTAAAATAATAAGTTTGTGTTCTTTTAAGCCACTGCATTTTCCATAGGCTAATCCAGCAAGCAGTGTACTCAACCAGGTAACTATTGTCTTCATATTGGACCGTGTTAATCCAAAAAGAGAATCCTGATGGCTGAATCAGAATCAATTTTAATTCCATAGTATCCCTTTTGGCTACACTGCTAAAGGTAGGAGGATGTACAAACCACTGGTCTAGGGTTGCTCTAGGGTAAAGAAAGATCCATTGTGTCCAAGAATGGTTAGTACAGAATTCCAGATTTTCAAAATAGGCCTATATAAACCCTTGTCCTTTCATTTTGATTAGTATCCAGAAAATAACCCCTTGGCCACGTCTTGTCTCCATTATGGTTCTGGAGACAACCACATTTAGTGACCATACTGTCTTACTACTCTTTACAGGAGGAGGTGAGAAAAGTAGAGTTGAAATCTTTTTAAGTCAATTTGTGAGAAATCCATTTCAGATTCAATATCATCTGATATTGTTGAGTCAATACTTGAGTCAAGTCAAGGATCTTGAGAAGTATTGTTGAGTCAATACATAACAATATCAGATGCCTGCAGATGGAGCATGGAATTGAATTCTTGATTATGGGCTTATCATTGGGTGACCTTTGTCACAAAAGTGGTACCATTGTCAGGCTGCAAATGGTCCAGAAAATCAAGTCTCAAGAGCCACAGGAGTACAGACAGAGTTGGCTGATTGGACTGCGGAAAAGTATCAAGAGCAGTGAGACACCACCAGTAGATACAGAAGGAGGTCAAAGGTCCGATACTGTCAGTGTACCAGGAATGGACAGAGTTCATACCTGTGCAATGCAACCTCCTTCACCACAAGACCAGCCAGCCAATCCTTGACAGGAGTTTCAAGTCTGACACACACTGGTAGCTTCCACATTAGAAGTGTATAACCCTTTATCTTGTGCCAAGTCAATGATGATATATATGTGGCCATGTCTAATACAGTGATAGATTAAGGTGGTAGAAGAAATGAGCTGGACATTTCAGGCTGGATCAACAGCTTGATTTCTGTAGGTCTCACTGGAGAATGGGTTCTTAATACAAACATCATCTAACATGAATGGCCTAGGTATTTTATCATCAGCGATGGCTTATTTCCACAGTTCATTTCCTGAGAGAGAAGTATCTTTAATCTGTTAGTCTATAGGCTTGTAAGTGACAGGCCATATAGCAGACCAAATGGCTGGATCATTGGCAATATCCCAAGAGTTAGTAAAAATATAAGCTTTTGTGGGAAGTATTGGGCAGAATTATGAGAATGGTCTTAAATTCTTCCCACTGAGTGGACAAGCATATCAGTTTTCAGGGTGCCATGTACAGAGCAGCAATTGACTACTGTAGCAGCCTAATGGACACCAACAGGTTTCAACTTAGCCAAACCATCAGTAAACCAGGCCCAGGCATTGAAAGAAACACTGTGAATCAAGGGCCTCATTGATCTGGTGGCCTTACTTCAAGCAGTGTAATGAAAATATTTTCCCTAAAATGATAGCTGCCACTCTTTCATGTAAACTGAGATGCTACTGGGGACAGACCAACTCTATCCTTGAATATTACAATTTCCATTTGACAACTGAGATATATCGGGCCTTTTCCTTATAGGTTGTCAAATCCAAGATAACCCATTCCAAAATGGAGACATCAGGCTGCAGAGTCACAAAGCTTCTATGGGTCAGCAGTTCAGCTTCTTGACCCAAAGTCTATACAGGTCAATAGCTCAGCAACAGGACAACAGAAGCCCCTGTTTTTAAAAGAGGTGTACTTGGTGCTTGCATCAGTTGTTACTAGGAAATTGCCTCCTGAATACTGCAGCCATTAAGTCTTTAAAGCTTTAATTTCCATTTCTTCTCAGGTTTTATATTCTCTTTGCTATACTACTGGGAAGGGGACAGAGATTACCCCTCCACATGCCACAGTCCTTGAATAGAAGAATTCCTCTGGGCTTCATGAGGATTCACAACACAAGCACGTACAACATGAACACCAATTATACATTCATCAGTGAAAGACACAGCAAACAGTACGTTGGATTGGCCCTAAAGGTCCTACAAGGTCACGTTAATTTTCCTCCCACATGGAAAAAATGTTGCCCAAACCCCATCAGTTGAATTTGGAGCACATTTTCCCCCATGGCAGAGGTTCATTCTTGACATTTAGGAGTGGTTAATTCTTTGTCTGGGGGTTCCCAAGCACTGTAGGAAACTTAGCAGTATCCCTGCTTTACCAACTAGATGCCAGTAGAACACCCCCCACATCGTCCCCCGGCTCAGTTGTGACTATCAAAAATGTCTCCAGGCCCACCACAGTGGCTCACGCCTGTAATCCCAACACTTTGGGAGGCCAAGGCAGGCAGATTACCTGAGGTCAGGAGTTCGAGAACAGCCTGGCCGACATGGAGAAACCCCATCTCTACTAAAAAAATAATAATAATTATATAACAAAAATTAGCTGGGCATGGTGGCTGGTGCCTATAATCCCAGCTACTTGGGAGGCTGAGGCAGGAGAATCACTTGAACCCAGGAGGTGGAGGTTGCAGTGTGCCAAGATCGTGCCATTGCACTCCAGCCTGGGCGACAAGAATGAAACTCTGTCTCAAAAAAAAAAAAAAAAAAAGTCTCCAGACATTGTCACATGTCCCCTGGGTGGGAGGAGAGGACAAAATGACCCTGGTTGAAAAACACTGCCCTATAGAAATATGGACCAAGAAGTCTAACAGGCATAACAGGACTGTAACAATAGCTGCTGGAAGGGGGATGCAGATGAGGGGAGAAGATGGCTTTTCTTATCCTTTGTCTCTCCCAACCAGGCTCAGGGTAAATTCCCTTGCACCCTACAATCCTCAGTACCTTTAGATATCCTTGTGCCCAGCACCCTCTCCATTCATGAGACTGGGAAGGATTATGACTTGGGCACCTATATTCAACAGAGCTAAAAATATTTGAGTTCCTCCCCTCCTTTCAGTTCCCCCGCATACTCAGCATTTTCCTTAAAGCAGTTGAGGCTGGGGTACAGGGGAAAGGAAGGGTCAGGAAGTGCAGAGGGAAAGAGCAGTTTCAGGCCAGTAAGCCAGTTTGCATCAGCTTTCCATTTCAAGCAGCTACCAGCAGGTTGGGCTCATTCAAGTGAACATCTGGCTTTGGTCCACCTGAAGCTGTATCTACTTACAGATGACATCATTATTTAAGCTTTGGGGGGACTCCTTGACCAATCAGATACAGCCACTTTTGGCTTCCCCACTTTTGCGGCCTAATTGTCATATAAAGTCCCTTCTTCCTGTTCCTGAGGAGAGTGAGCACAATCAAAGTACCATTTGGGAAGATTGTTTCAACCTTGCCTCTTGCTTAGCCTGTAAACATTCATTAACAGGCAGGAGAGTGAGAGAAATGTACTTTCCCCCTTGCTCCCCACTTTGGTGAGGGCATTTGCTACTGGGTCCTACTAACACAGCCCATGGGGTCTTCCAGAAAGGCACACCTCAGCCAGCACCCTATCTTGTCACCCAAACTGTCAGGGTCTGGGATTTTACCCTATATACAAGCTAGTAACTTAGCCTGTTATTGCTTCATGGATGTTGGCAGAAGACATGAGGCTCTTGGGTCAGAGATAAAGTACTTCACTACATGCGTAACAAGTAGCATGAAAATAAGATTGCATTAGTTCCCCTTGCCACTAAATCCCACAGACGAAATAGGCAGGGGCCCAGATGGAATGCTTAGCATAGTGAATCTGCTTTGTAGATGAGGAAAAGTGAGATTGGAGAATCCACTGCTTTTATAGTAACAAAAAGACATGTCAACAAGAAATACCCAGAATGAATGACAGAGACTAAAGAATGGAAAACATAGGAGACATAAAGGTTATAGTAAGACAGTCTAACATATGTGAAATTATAATTCCAAAAGGAAAAGAGACAGAGAATAGGACAGAAGCAACATTTAAAAGACAATAATTAATTTTTTTGCAACAATGCTGAAATACATTAAGCTATAGATTCAGAAAGTCCTATGAATCTCAGAAAAGAATAAAAGTATAGAAAACTCAAACTGGTGAAAACAAAAGACAATAGAAGATTGTAAAAGTAGCCAGAGAAAAGAAACATTACTTTGAGAACAGGAAGATTTAGACTGACAATGAACTTTCCAACAAAAGCTAGCAAAGCCAGAAGACATGGCTTGATTTTTTTGTTGTTGTTTTTTTCAGGTAGAGTCTCATTCTGTCACTCAGGCGGAGTGCAAGTGGCAAGCAAGAACAGGGATCACTGCAGCCTCGATCTTCTAGGTTCAAGAGATTCTCTCACCTCAGCCTCCTGAGTAGCTGAGACTGTGCACATCCCACCACGCCTGGCTAATTTTTTAAAAAAAATTTTTAGAGATAGAGTCTCACCATGTTGCCCAGGCTTGCCTGGAACTCCTGGGCTCAAGTGATCTTCCCACCTCAGCTTCCCAAAGTGCTGGGATTATACACATGAGCCACCGTGACTGGCCTGGACTGATACTTTTAAATGCTGGAAAAAAATAACTGCCAATCCAATATTTAATATCCAGAAAAAATGTTATTCAACAAAGACAGTAGGCTGGGCACGGTGGCTCATGCCTATAATCCCAGCACTCTAGGAGGCTGAGGCCGGAGGATCGCTTGAGCTCAGGAGTTCCAGACCAGCCTGGACAATATAGTAAGACCCTGTCTCTATAAAAAAAATTAAAAATTATTCAGGCATGGTAGTGCATGCCTGTAGTCCCAGCTATTCAGGAGGCTGAGGTGGAAGGATTGCCTGACCCTGGGAAGTCAAGGTGGCAATGGACTGTGTTCGTGCCACTGCCTTACAGCCTGGGTGACAGAGTGAGGGCCCTAGCACTTTGGGAGGCCGAGGCAGGTGGATCACCTGAGGTCAGGAGTTCGAGACAGCCTGGCCAACACGGTGAAACCCCGTCTCCACTAAAAATACAAAAATTAGTTGGGCATGGTGGTGGGCGCCGATGGTCCCAGCTACTCGGGAGGCTGAGGCACGAGAATCACTTGAACCCAGAGGCAGAGGTTGCAGTTAGCCCAGATTGCACTCTTTTGCCTGGGCAACAGAGCGAGACTCGTCTCAAAAATAAATAAATAAAAAATAAAGACAGTAAAATAAAGACATTTCACAACAAATGAAGCCTGAGAATATTTATCACCAGTAGAAAATGTTTTCTTCTTAATACTTATTCTGTCTTTTCTTGAGACAAGGTCTCACTCTCTGTCACCCAATTATTGATTCTCCTAATGCTAACCATCCTCTCAGCTTTTTACGGCTAGCAATGTGTTTGCCACATACTCATCAACAGAGGGCAGTAGCTCACCATCATTGGTTTAGTTAGCCTGCATGGTACTTTCAAGGATGGACTTGTAACAGACAAATGTATCTTTCTGTGTCGTCTGTTGTCGTTTCCTCCCACCAAGTATGGGAGAAGGGAGGAGAGGAACTACTAAGAAGCAGTCAACAAAAATGGTAAAAGTATGCTTGAATCTAAACAAATATTGACCCTATAAACAGAAATAATAATGCCTTCAAGAGTTACAATGTGTGACTATAAAATACAAGATAACAATGGCATAGAAATCAAAAGGAGGGTACATGAAGTTAGAAGGTTGTAAGAACCTGGAATTATCTGGGGAAAAAAAGATAAAAAATAACAATTAACATTAGATTTTGATATGTGAAAGATGAATGCTGTACTATCGTGGGCAAACATTAAAATAATATCAGTAAAGCTGTGGGAAAATAATAAAACAATAAGTTCTCAGGTCCCTCAGAGTAAGAATTAATCATAGTCATTTTTGGACTCATCACACCAAGCTCTTAGCAGAGCCAGTTTGTGGACTGATTAAGTTTCTGCTCTCTAACTTCTAGGACAGTCAGTAAATGTGAAATTAAGGAACAAAAGGTAGCTTTCTTAATCCATTTATGTCTTCTTAATACTTATTCTCCGTCTCTCTTTGAGACAAGTTCTCACTCTGTCGCCCAATTGTTTTTTCTCTTAATGCTAACCATCCTCTCAGCTTTTTCTGTTTGACAATGTGTTTACCACACACTCATCAACAGAGGGCAGTAGCTCACCATCATCTGGTTAAGTTAATCTGCATGGTACTTTGAAGGATGAACTTGGAACAGACGAAATGTTTGCTGTTTCCTCCCACCAAGGATGGGGCAAGGGAGGAGGGAAAGAGGATTTTCCATTTTAAAAAGCACTTAGAGCCAGGCACAGTGGTTCACACCTGTAATCCCAGCACTTTGGGAGGTCGAGGCAGGAGGATTGCTTGAGCTCAGAAGTTTGAGACCAGCCTGGGCAACATGAGGAGATCCCACCTCTATAAAAAATTTTAAAATTAGCTGAGTGTGGTGGCACACACCTTTGGTCCCAGCTACTCAGGAGGCTGAGGTAGGAGGATTGCTTGAGCCCAGGAGGTCGAGGCTGCATTGAGCCGTGATCCTGCCACTGCACTCCAGCCTGGGCAACAGAGAAAAATCCTGTCTCAAGAAGAAAATTTAAAAAGCACTTAAACTGACATGTGGAAGTAATCTCATCATAAACTGGAATTAGAAATGAGTCAAATTAGTGACAAATTTTTATTTTTACTCTCATTTGTCAACATTACCAAATTATTTTCTTGAAAAAAATGTTTTATTTTGTGTATACCTAAATAATTTAAAGGACCAATCCTGCAGAGTACTTCCCTCTCCCTTCTGAAAAATATATAACACAAAGTACTCAAAAAGTATCCAGCAAATTAACACATGTGAAAGATGGTACTAGACACCTAGGAATTATGTACCAATCCTGGAATTCATACTCAAGCTGCCCCTGATTTCCAACACCTCCATCCCCCAGAATGAGGACTCTCTTTACCCAGGTGTCCCTACATTACATGGCTGCAGCAGGGATCTCTGTGCTATCATCAGGGAGAACAAGCCCTGGAAATACGTGAATAAGGAATTCCAGCCTATATGGTGATAGAACAAATCTTTTCTCTAGAACATTTAAGTCCCTCTTCTGCAAAGAACAAATAATTTACAGCTTCAGGGTATCTGATGATTTTGTTGCATAATGCTTAAAAGCACAAGCTATGGAGTGAGGCCAGCCTTCTCTAAAACCCCAGGATCACCCTTTAAGTTTCATGACTGAAGCATTCTGTGTAACTACTCTGAATCTCAGTTTCCTCATCTGTGAAACTATGGCAATAACAATGTTACCAGCATCAACAGGCGGTTGTGAAGATTTTTATTATTAGCTATATTGAGAGGAATGGTGCTTAACTGTAAGCAGCTGCCCAGAGGATTCTTGTTCCCTGGGAAGGCAGTTCAGGGATCAGGCCCTTAGGCAGTAATTAAGAGAGCATGCAAATTAAGCGTATAGCAGGTGTGGTGAGAAGAGGGCATCAGGGGAGAGCAGTTGGCTATTTACCGGGAACCAAGATGAGGCTAAGACCTGCCTCTCCTTGTTATGAATATAACTTTGATTTTAAGAGGAACAAAACATTTATTTCAAATTTTCTCTAGTATGAAGACATATATTCAGTGAAAAATTTAGGGATTCTAAAGTCCCCTCAAAGCATTCAGGAGGACCATTTTATACTTCATTCATTGCCAAACAGATGTCTTCCCTCCGTGCCACTCTAGAGGACTCTGAACAGCGCAAAGGCCAACAGAGAGCAAAGGGTAAGCAATAGAAAGACACTGACAGTAAGTCAGTCAACAAACTTGTATTGAGCACCTACTATGCACCAGACTCCATGTTAGGGATGATGAACAAACTGACATGGGCCCCTGCCCTCATGGAGTGTATATTTCTAGGTAACAGGTCTTTGGTGCCAATCTGGGGACATGCTACAGCAGAATCACCTGTGGTAAAAATGTAGCGTATTCAGAATCTGAACACAGACCCCCACCCTGACCTAATGAATCAGACATTCTAGGAGGCAGAGGATACAGGAGGCTATATTTTTATCAGTGCCCTATGGTAAATCTGAGAAACACCCAGATTCGGAGAACTACCATTGGTGTTTCTCAAAGCATGGTCTTTTGACCACCCACATCAAACTCAGCCTCCTAAGAGCACAACACAGGCACGCATGTTTTCAATGTACCCCAAGGTTTGAGAAGCGTTATGCTTGACTTTTTCTCTTACACCTCTCCCTTCCTATTAAATGACATGTATGTGAAAATGCAGTATAAATTGTAAAGCATGATACAAAGTTAGTTGGGTATAGTTCCTAGGACCTTTCAATAAACTGAGGAAGTCCAGCATATACAAGTAACTGAAATCGGTGTGGAATATGATGAGGCATTCCTCAGAGCTCAACAGGTCTCTGGCAGAATCTTCATGGTTCTTCTTATAGCAGCAGAGCCTTCTAGCAGGTAAGGCTGCTAAAACAATACTGTTACTTCAAATGAAGGTCCTTCTGCCTCTGCCCCCCACCAGAGCACAGCTGGGGTGCCTGAGCAGTTACATGCTTGGGTGGCATCCTCTCTGAAGGTCCCTAGAGTATATGCCCTCAGCTGGGCCATTAGCAGAACCTTTTATATCGTGACAGAAATATTTGTTAGGTGGACCCTGTGAGAGCGTAGTAATATGCCATGGCAATATACCCCTTAAACATTTAGCTTTCTCAGCAGATCATGAAATACAAATTCGGGATGCAGGATTAGGATGAAAAAGAAACTAAATGGATAGGAGGGGAGAGACAGATGGTTAGAGAAGACACTAAATTCCCATTTTAGATGTGATGAATGACAGGCACTGATATGGTTTGTAATCCCCACCTGTGGAGGGAAGGAGGTGATTGGATCATGGGGATGATTTTTATTATTAGCTATACTGAGAGAAACTGTAAGCAGCTGCCCAGAGGATTCTTGTTCCCTGGGAAGGCAGCTCAGGGATCAGGCCCTTAGGCAGTAATTAAGAGAGCACGAAAATTAAACGTATAGCAGGTGTGGTGGGAAGAGGGCATCAGGGGAGAGCCGTTGGATATTTACCGGGAGCCAAGATGAGGCTAAGACCTGCCTCTCCTTGTTATGAATTTAACTCTTTTTTTCTTAAAGAGGAACAAAACGTTTATTTCAAATTTTCTCTGGTATGAAGACATATATTCAGTGAAAAATTTAGGGATTCTAAGGTCCCCTCAAAGCATTCAGGAGGACCACTGTGCATTCAGAGGACACTCTCTTGCCTGCTGCCAGGTAAGACATACCTGCTTCCCCTTCTGCCATAATTGTAAGCTTCCTGAAGCCTCCCCAGCATGCAGAACTGTGAGCCAATTAAACCTCCTTCCCTATGAATTACCCAGTCTCAGGGTTCTTTACAGCAGCGTGAGAACGGTCTAATACAGACACCTTTGGAATATCCAGGTGGGGTTGCCACATATGGCTGCAAATCAAGAGTGTGAAGGTCAGAAAGTTAACTAAGACCAATGACAGAGACATAGCAGGCTTCAGCTAGAAGTGGCAGGCAGTCTGCATACTGAGAAAATAGATGAAGAAAAACTCAGCAAATGGAGAAACATATAAAGCAAGAGGAGAGAGTGTAGGGAAAGACCTTAAAAAAGAGGGACAAAAGAGGGAAGAGGTGACTCCTAAGAGCGGAGGGCTGAAAAGCCAAAAGGAGGTTAACATTTCTAGGAAAACGAATCGCCAGTGTCAAATACCACAGAGTAGTGAGTAAGGACAGGAACAGAGGACAGGCCCTGGGATTCACGATCTGCACGTCACTGGTGACAACGTCCAAGAGCAACAGACTGGGGGGATGTGGAACTATTTCCTTCACGGTTTTGACCAGCGTGCTTACTAATAAATCTCAATTCCCTTCATAGCTCTGATTTGATTGTTTTCTGCGAAGGATTCTCAGTTACACGGATGTTATCATTGAACATTAGATACTTTGCTTTCCGAATGGCTGCCTCATTAAGAATCGCAATTTAGCTGGATGTGTCCTCATCGGACTTCCCCAGCCTTCTACTCACTCTCACCTTGCCCCTACTCTCCCTACCTCCCAAGGGGACTGGAGCATGATTTTTCAGGGATTGTGGTGCACCTCTGCCATATGGTGGACATTCAAAGAAAATTTAATTACTAATGTGAATGGAAAGGATTTAGGAAGTGGGTGGGAAAACAGTCTCCTCTCATATTGGAAATACAGTTACTTCCCCTTTCAAAATAAATATAAGTATTTATATTTCAAAGTTAAATATAACTAGACGATAGTTGTACCCTATAGTGCAGTATGACAGGGAAGGTGTAGGCTTTGGTGTCAAACCAACCTAAGGACTGAGTCTCAGCTGTTGCGCATTGCACACCTGCAAAGACGGGTAATATTCTTTACTTGTAAGGTGGTTGGAAGAGCTGAACTGAATAACGTGGAAAGAGTCGATCACAGGGCTTTGTGCAGAATAGGAGGGCAGTATAAAGTAGCAGGGGGGCTATTAGTACTGGCTATTGTTTACTCATCCTATAAGCTGCTTATTCAGAAAACTACAGTAACTTTCCAAATAATTTGGGCAGGAAAACCTCACCACCTTTCATCTAGAAAGATCTAATCACTTCTTTGAACGCCATTCACCCAAGAGGGCACAACTCCTACCAACATGAAAAGCAGATCTTGTGAAAGCCCACTTGCTGCCATCTCCCAGCCATTTCTCCGACTTCAGACCGGTGAACATCGTGCATTAGAAAGTGTTGTTACATGTCCAAGGAAATCTACATATAGAACTTTTGCCACGGAAATGCTGAAGTCCTATTCTGACAGCGTGACTCCGATGTCCACTTGGCAGGCTTTGCGCAAAGAATTAAGGCGAGGGTGGAGAGGGTGGGTAGGGTGGGGACGGACAAAGTGAGAAGGGAGGCGGGCCAAGTGACCACACGTACATGAAGCCTCTCCAGTTATGGCCAAATCATTTTTTAAAAATAATTCCATTTCTTCCCCACCCTTTGGTCACTTCCTAACGCCGGCTGGGGAGTCACATGCTAAGCTCCAAAGTGAGCAACAGACACCCTCGTCCCAGGTCCCATGCTGGCAGAAGCGGACCCGGGCCGAGGGATCAGCCCTCCCACTTCCAGCGGAGGAGCCCTTCGCAACCCTAGCCTCCAGCCCGGGGCGAAGTCCTCCAGGCCCGCGGGGGCGCCCGCAGGCTCCGCCCCTTCTTCGGCTAGCTGCCCGTCCGTCCCGCCCCTGCTCCGCCCTTCCCGCCCCTGCTCCGCCCATCGCGCGGCGGCCCCGGGGGCGAGAGGGGGCGGAGCGTGGAGGCGGCAGCTGGAACCGCGCAGCGCACGGGAACGCGTCCCGCTGCTTGGGTCAGGTTCGCCGGTCGCGGGAGCCCCGCCGTGCAGTCGGAGGTGAGTACCGACGCGGCCCGACCCACGTCCCCAGGCGGGAGCGCCGTCCACCCTGTATCCCTCGAGAGTCGGTGCGGGCCTTTACCGAGGTGCCCGAGGCAGTGGCGGCACGGGGGACACGGAGGCGAGCTTGGGGAGGCTGAGAGGAGAATCGGGGACGTGTTTCTGGCGACTGACGTCTCCACCCTGTCCCCAGTCTATGTCATGCCGGGGAGAGAAACCAGGGATTGGAAGTGGCTTTCCTAGACCCTTCTTAGCCTTGGCTGTGCGTGCTGTCCTGAAAGTCCTTGCCTAGGGTGTGCGGCCAGTCCTGGGAGTCCTAACCCCGAGGGTGTGAGGCCCGCACTGGGAGTCCTCGCCCAGGCCCGGCTGGCTGGATAGGGAAACCCTTGCTAAAGTTGTGCGGGCAGATCCGGGAATCCACTCCAAGGGGTAAAGGGAAAATGGGATGAGGGGGAAGAGACCCTTCGTGGGAGGCTTGAACACAGAGCCCACCATGATAGATTCAGAGATCTAGAAAGGAGCTTGGGCTGCAGTTATGACCAAGTCATTTTTTTCTAGATTCAGCTAGCACATCATAATGGCATCTTCCTTCTTGCAACACATGTAACTCTCTTCCCTGGGGGACAACCTCTAGGACAGAAGTCCCCAAACTTTTCTGGTACTCAGTACTCCTTTACACTCTTAAAAATTAGTATCTTAAGGAGCTTTTATGTGTGTTATATCTATCCATATTTATAATATGTAAGTAAGACTGAGAAATTTGTACTATAATAATTCATTTAAAAAGAATAGTGAACTAATTATATCTTAACATTGCCTATTTTTATGAAAAAGAACTATATTTCCCAAAACAGAAAATGATTGAGAAGAGTGGCATTGTTTTACATTTTTGCAAATCTCTTTGATGTCAAGCGTAATTGAAGACAGCTGGATTCTGATAGCTGCTTCTGCAGTCTGTTGCAATATCACATATCATGTAGCCTCTTGAGACCTCCACTGTATACTCCTGAAAATGTGTGAATGAAAAAAAGCAAGTAACATTTTATTACTAGGAAAATGGTTTTGACTTTGGAGATCCCTAGGAGTTCTCTGCACCACACTTTGAGGATGCTGGTGTAGGAAATGCTTCAGAGGCTTCATTCATTGGGCCTGCTTCTTGTTTGTGATCCTTCCTCTGATTGGGAACACACACCACCTCATGCCATGGACAGTATTAACCTCTGGTATCTGGAACCAAGTTTGATCTCACTTTGGAAACCATGTACTAGGTCCCCACGTGAGGCTGTGATGAACCTTGCCAGCCTCCTGAAAAGTCAGCAAGGCTTCGCACATGCCTTTGGTTGTCTCTGTGCTTGCAGAGCTGACCTGTCTGTGCATCAGGATTACAACAGTGATGTGGCAAACAGGACCTGTAGGCTCACAAAAGTGCCAGTGGGGAGACCATGCCAAGTGTGTAGGGGTTCCTGTGAGAGTTACCAAGTAGTCAGGAAGTTATTTCCAAAAGAACAAGGAGGCATGCTTTTGCCTTCCCTTGCACGTGTTCATTTCTGTTTGCAGTTGCATGGTTATTAGCCTTGAGTTTATTGGAATAATGATTTCCAGTCTTGACGTTCTTTCACTTTCCACTTTCAGAGGGTGTCACTCTGAGTGGTGCTTCCTCAGCCCCTGTCAAAAAGCAGTTTCCACCATCCTGGAGTGTGGTAGGTGAGGTCCTTCACGGGACTCTTTCCTTAGCTTCGTGCCTTGTCAGAACAAGTTCAAGACAGATGTTATGTGTATATATTTGGGAGGAAGAAATTTTCTAACTCCATCCTCCCTTTTGTTCCTTCATCCATAGAGCCTCTTGTGCTCTGATGGATCAGTTTAAATGCTACAGCCGATACTTGAGAAATGTTGCATGCACATGAGCGTGTTGTGTGTGTTGCACAGTCCACAGGTGAGGAGGAGGAGAAGTCCACAGGAGAAGGAAATGGGATCTAAACTCTGAGCACCTGCTGTGTTCTTTGTATTAAAAAATTCCACTTTGATGGTGGGGTCTCATTCCTTCATTCTTTCAGTAGATTTTTATTGGCCACCTATTTCTCATGTGTCCAGTTATGTGCGGGATGCCAGGAAAGTAGTGAGCACAAAAGATGCAGTCCCTGTCTTTCTGGCAATTATGGTCTGATAGCTTTGATAACTGCTGGTTAATTGAGATAGTCTATTATATAGTCAGAGTGTGTACATGAAAGCTGGTCCTGTGTGAAGAGCAGTACCCCCTACCTAAAGTGTGCTTCAAAGGCATGTGCTGAAGAAACCAGTCCCACACTGTGAAGATGATGATAAAAACCAACGTGTATCACCACGTGCCTGGCAAAGAACTTCCTTTGCCTTCTTTCCCCCACTCTTCCTTCTACATAGGAAGTAATTTCCTGTGAGGCAGCCAGATTCACAGGGAAATTACCTCCAACCTGGTGCCAGTCACTGGGCCAGCCTCGGGTTAAGACACTTTCTCTGGGTCTCAGTGTCTTTGACTTTAAAATGAGGAGTTAGGCCATTGATAGTAAGTGTCCCAAGGAGCCAGTGGTTTCAGAGCTGGTTTATACTAGCATTTGTGCATATCTCTTCCTAACTCCGTGTTCAGTGGCAACACATTTTTTAGATTGAAATAAGCCATGGTGGGAATAATAACACCATGGAAATTGGCAAATGCTACATCAGAGCTTTTTTTTCCTCTTGGAGTTCAAGTTGTTAAACCTTTGCCAGCTGACACTGCTATTGTCTGAGCCAAGGTGCTTTTGGTTTGTTTTTTTAGTAGAAAACAGACTCTTTAGCCTAGACAAAGATCCTAGATATAGGGTGTATGATTCAAGTCCTCTAAAATTTTTGATAAGGAAAAAAATCTGTTTTCATCATATTCTAAAATATAGATCAGCAAACTTTTTGTGTAAAGGGACAGGTAGTGAAATATTTTAGGCTTTTTGGGTTATGGTTATACAGTTTCTATTGCAGCTACTCAGCTCTGGTGTTGAAGCACGAAAGCGGCAATAGACAACATGCAAACAAACAAGCATGGCTGTGTTCCAGTCAAACTTGATTTACAAAAACAAGGGCCAGCCATAGTTTGCAGACTCCTGACCTAGACTATCAGAACAAGAACCATGTTTCAAAGAGAGAGTTTTATGGAAAAGGAGATTCTTCAGGACTTTATGCGTGAATACCAGAAACTTGAGTCTCCAAGATGGACGTAGCGGGCAGTAGTAACTGTAGAGGATTTGGAATCAATCATGGAAGACTCCATAGTAGGTTGTTTAAAGGAAGGCCAAGTGTGTTGAAGTTTTGAGGACAGAGCCACATATGGGTCTTATTCCCAACTCCCTCCCTGGAGCCATCTCAGATGTTATGCTAGAATGGATGTACCTGCAGTCTAACCCGTTGTGTGAATTTTGCATATTATTATGCAAAAACTAGTAGTGTCTCTAAGAGCTGTCTTGATTCCAGGGGCAGAGACAAAGGAAATGTTAAAAAGGATGGAAAGGCCCAGGCACCGTGGCTTACGCCTGTAATCCCAGCACTTTGAGAGTCCAGATCGCTTGAGCCCAGGAGTTCAAGACCAACCTGGGCAACATGACAAAACCCCATCTCTACCAAAAATACAGAAAAAAATTAAAGCCAGGTGTGATGGCACATATCTGTAGTCCCAGCTACTTGGGAGGCAGAGGCAGGAAGATCACCTGGGAAGTCCAGGCTGCAGTGAGCCATGATTGCATCACGGCACTCCAGCCTGGGCAATAGAGTAAGACCCTGTCTCAAAAAAAAAAAATCCTCGTTATATATGTATATGATACATTGTAGAGTACACTGTGTGTGTATACCTGTGTGTATGCATATTTGTACATCTATGTGTACATAAGTTGTGTGCATGTGTCATTACATATTCCATTCCATGTATTTAAAGTAGCATCATGAATGTTTAGAAGATAGACCAGTAGCCAGTTCTGGGCAGTGGAATGAGGTAGAAGGAAGCCAGAGAACTTTTGTTACTTTTCATAATAACAGATGTGTGCCTATCTTATAAGGGAGGATAGCCTGTAGCATTCATATATTGCTTTTACAACATAGTAAACCTAAAATCCCAACAACGTATACTTTCGGAAGGAAAATAGAGTTATTTCTCTGATAGGAATGTTGCCACCATCCTCCTCCCCCAATTAAAAAAAACTGCTTTGTCATATCACAGCTCTGAACTTGTATATATAATATTAGTATAAAAATAAGAGAGAGACTCTCAAGTCAAAACATTTTATTTAACAGTATTAATGTTTGACTCTTGTCCAGGGTTAGTAATACTAGTTCAAAGTGTTCCTTAGCAAGCTATTGTGCAGCCTTTACACTGGTGTTACAAAATAGTGTTGTATAGTTTTTAAACTAAAAAAAGCATGTTACACAGCAGTATTTCCCTGTGATTCTGTATTTCTGAGGAGAGAAAGCATGTGCATATATGTACGAGTGTGCCCCTGCATGTACAAAGGCAGCGGATATGCCAAAACATTGAGTGCTTTTCTCTAGGTGATACAGCACACTTGCTTTTTAGATTTTCTTCATTTTAGCTTATCGGGGTTTTCAAGCATGAATAAATATTACATTTGACATTACCAAAATCAACCCCTACAGTATGTTTACACCTGGTATGTTGAGGACAGTTCTTCCATCTTTCTTAGGCTGTCTTACCACCAGCTTACCTGGTGGCAGACTCCAGCTACTGTCTCCCAGTGAGAAATGTGAGGAGTGTGAGGCATGGCGAACCGAAAAACAGGCACACTTACCATGTAGTCACATTGTGCTGTGTCTGCTTCCCCTGTAGAGTCTGTCTGACCTTGGCCTCGCCCTCTCACTTCAGTTGACTGGCACCATCAGCTGACCGTCTCCCTAGATCGACTGGCCTTCATTTCTTTTTTTTTTTTTTTCCTTTTCTCTATTTTTAATGGAAAATCTCAGACATACAAAGTGGGGAGGAGAGTATAAACCCTCAGCCTCAACGACTGTGAACAGTGATAATTGGCCAATTTTGTTTCCTCTATACTTTTTTTTTTTTTTTTGAGACAGCGTCTCACTCTGTCACACAGGCTAGAGTGCAGTGGTGCAACCTCAGCTCACTCCAACCTCCACCTCCCGGGTTCAAGCAATTCTTCTGTCTCAGCCTCAGAATAGCTGGAATTACAGGCGTGCGCCACCACGCCCAGCCGATTTTTGTATTTTCAGTAGAGATGGGGTTTCACCATGTTGGCCAGGTTGGTCTCGAATTCCTTACTTCAGGTGATCCGCCTGCCTCAGCCTCCTGAAGTGCTGGGATTACAGGCATGAGCCACTGCGCCTGGCTCTTCCCTTATACTTTTCTTCAACATCACCTCTTTTTCTTTCTGGCAAGAGTTGGCATCTTCATTTGCAGCTGTATAAATTAACGAGAATCACTTATTAGGTCTTTTAGGAATAAGCATGTATTGACTGCTGTAGCAAAAATCTTAAAACTGTTCTGCCCTAATGTCAGCCATACTGAACTGCTGAGGAGCCCCTGAACACTTGCTGCGCTATCCTGTTTCTCTACTTTGGTATTTGCTCTTTACTCTGCCTGTGCATCTGAATTCATCTTCCACTTCGTAGTTCTCTGTAAAGCCTTTCTTGAATCCCACTTGTAGCTGTCTCTTTCCTTTGACTTTTCTTATAACCCTCATCCTATTGTATTTGTGTGCTTATCTTAGTCTCCTTGTCAGATTGCAGTCTTCAAATAAGAGAAGGAATGTGTGCCTATCTTCTTTTCCTCTATGGTATTTAGCAATGCGTAATACAAAGAAGATACTCAAGAAATACATGCTAAAATAATTTGAATTGATTAAGTTCACTGGAGAAAAATTTTGAGTATAAAAGAAATCCATCACATTAAAAGAAAAATTTTCAAATATGACCTAGGACCAAGAACATTTTCTTTCATCTGTTTGGATTTTAAAAGATTTTAAAGAATCATGGTGAAAAGAGTCTTAAATTTGAGCCATGAAAAGAGTCTTAAATTCGAGCCAATATAAAAACGTAGCTTTCTAAAAAGAAAATGTTTTTAATGATCTTTTGTCATTTTTTCACAAATATATCTGGAGCCTGTGGGTCTTCTCTAATCATACAATGCATCCCCTCACCTCCCCCCACCAGGCGAAAGACCTGAAAAAATACAACTGAATAATATTGGGTCACTTGTATTGGATAAGAGTGATTCTTGACTATATTTTAAATACTTGTTTTAGAATGTATATTTAAATCTTCAGTAAAAGAAACAGGCTACATTTAGAGCTTACCATAGGTAAGTCAATAGCAATCTCATGAATTATGGTAGCTCACGGGGATATAGTTCCCAGAATATGCAGTGCTTTCGTGTGTTACCTCATTTAATTATCCTAGCAGCCCTTGTCATCTGGGCAGAGCAGTGCAGACAGACATTGTTACCTAAAATCTGCAAAGAAGTAAACTAAGGTTTAAGAATATAGAAGAAATCTTGTCCTCAGCAGCAAGTGGCAGAGACTGACTTTAAGAATCAATTGGAAACCAAGAGTCTTTGGGATTAGATGTTGCAAATATGTGAAGACGCAAAAGCATCTAAGCATGTCTTTGGGAGACGGAACAGGTTCTTGTGCCCCTTAATGCCATAGACCTATTGAAACAATATCACACTCTCTGAGCCAGTTGTTCCTCAGATTCCTCATGTTCTGCTGTTATCTTTGGTGTCAAAAATTAATCCACCTTAGATGAATTAGTAAGGCTGTTTGTACATGAGTGCTGGTGTGGTTCTCTCTCATCCTCTTGTCTTGATCTAAGGAGAACCCTGGGCAAGCCCATCTTTGGATAGTGTAACTTGTCTGGGCCACTGCTCGCAAAACAGACATGTATGGAACACTTAATTATTCAACATCCTTGTCATCCTTTCTATAACTGCTATTGTGGAATTACATGGCAAGTTGCAAGTTGTGGCATAGTTCATGAAGAAGAGGTGTCAGTCTAGGAAAGTATCCTCCTACATGATTACCAGGTTTGAATTTTTGGTTCAGAACAGATAAGATAAATAAGCCATTGCCAAGAATCTGCGATGTACAAGAGCTATGATGGGTGGACATTTGAAAGGTACAATTTTGTATTAACGGCAGAATCAAAAGTAGCCTCAGGATTGGTTTTAAGGATGTTATGTTTCATAAACCCTTATTTTCTTAGATAAGAAATCAGTCTAAGTGCTAATAATGCCTATATTATTTACATCAACCCATTCTTTAAAAGTTACCATACAAATTTTGCCAAAATCAAGGATGTTTTAGGGAACATGAGGTTTACCATCTCGTCCCCATATATGTGCTTTAGAGCTTGGAGATTGTTTTAAAATGAGATTTATTTTTTTTAAATGCATTTGGTTTTTTGGATCTTAATATGTTAAATGACTGTAAAATGATATCACTTGTGCAGCCTGTTGGGAGGAGCATGGTGCAAGAGAGTTGGTTCTGACATCAGGAGCCTGAGTTTGACTTCCAGTTTGGTCACTTACCAGCCATGAGACCATGGCAAGATACTTAGCCCGTCAGATCCTGTCTTCTCTCATGTGAAATGGGATGGTGATGCCCTTGTCACAAAGTTGCCAAGGGTCTGCATTAGAGGAATTGGATTAGATGCCTGGCACCCCACAGGCACTCAGCACATGTCTCCAGGCTGCTGAGCTTCTGGGTGACCTGGCACTCATGGGATAATGCCTGAACATTGCTGCTGTTCTTCCCAGCTTCTGTCCCAGTCCAACCTGCTAAGCTCCAGGCCCATATATGCCCCTGCCCGCAGGAGATCTTATCCCAGATCCACCGTGTCTAAAACCAACATCTCAGTTCCCATCTTGTTCATTGGCTCTGCCAGTTTGCCCAAATGAGAAACACAGAAGCTATTCGAGACCTATCTTTTTTCCTTACCTACCCCAGCCCATCCTGCTTTCATAACTGTTGCGGGAGGTCAGGGACCCCGAACGGAGGGACCGGCTGAAGCCATGGCAGAAGAACATAAATTGTGAAGATTTCATGGACATTTATTAGTTCCCCAAATTAATACTTTTATAATTTCTTATGCCTGTCTCTACTGCAATCTCTGAACATAAATTGTGAAGATTTCAGGGACACTTATCACTTCCCCAATGAATACCCTTGTGATTTCCTATGCCTGTCTTTACTTTAATCTCTTAATCCCATCATCTTCATAAGCTGAGGAGGATGTATGTCACCTCAGGACCCTGTGATGATTGTGTTAACTGCACAAATTGTTTGTAGAGCATGTGTGTTTGAACAATATGAAATCTGGGCTGCTTGAAAAAAGAACAGGATAACAGCAATGTTCAAGGAACAAGAGAGATAACCTTAAACTCTGACTGCCGGTGAGCCGGGGGGGAAACAGAGCCATATGTCTCTTCTTTCTAAAGCAAATGGGAGAAATATCGCTGAATTGTTTTTCTCAGCAAGGAACATCCCTGAGAAAGAGAATGCGTCCCTGAGGGTAGGCCTCTAAAATGGCTGCTTTGGGGGTGGCTGTCTTTTACGGTCACTGCTGTAGGGAAGAAATAAGCCCCAGTCTCCTGTAGCGCTCCCAGGCTTATTAGGACGAGGAAATTCCCTCCTAATAAATTTTGGTCAGACCGGTTGTCTGCTTTCAAACCCTGTCTCCTGATAAGATGTTATCAGTGACAATGCATGCCCGAAACTTCATTAGCAATTTTAATTTTGCCTCAGTCTTATGGTCCTGTGATCTTGCCCTGCCTCCATTTACCTTGTGATATCTTACTACCTTGTGAAGCATGTGATGTCTGTGACCCACACCCTATTCATACACTCCCTCCCCTTTTGAAAATCACTGATAAAAACTTGCTGGTTTTACTGCTCAGGGGGCATCACAGAACCTGCCGACATGTGATGTCTCCAGCTTTAAAATTTCTCTTTTGTACTCTTTCCCTTTATTTCTCAGACCGGCCGACACTTAGGGAAAATAGAAAAGAACCTACGTGAAATATCAGGGGTGAATTTCACCCAATACATAACTCTGCCTGGATTTGTTCCCTCCTGTACCTCCTCATTGCCTTGTCTTATTGACTGTAATAACACCGTAACCTGCCTCCCAGACACCAGTCTGGCAGCCTTTCCCTGAGTTAGTCTATACCCCTACCGGAATGATCTCTGAAAATCAAATCTCATCTTAAAGATTGCAGCTCAGAATCCTTTAATGGTGCCTCCTTACCTTTGGTAAAAATTCAAACTTTGCAGCAACCTGGACCTTGCTCCATCCCTTGTTTCTTAGCTCTCCCCAACATGTACCCTGTACTTTATCCACGTGCAACACTTTATGATTCCCACAATGTCACACTTTTGTGCCTTTAATGTATTGTTTCATCTGCCAGCTTATTCTTTCAGTGACTCTGTACCTCTGTGTAATTCTGGAAGGCTTGTGCATGGTGTCACCTGTCCCTAGAGTCCTTTCTCTCCCCCTCTGATGCTCTGATGCTGGATTAGGTGCTTTTCCCTGGTGGTTCTTTATCAGCCTTCATCCACCACACCTGTAGCATGGGCTGCATGATGTTCTGATTTCTCCTACACAGTCTCCATTCTCAGTCTGAGCATCTGAAGGAGGATGGGGACTTTATCCCTTCATCCCAGGTCTGTAAATGTCGTGTGTATGAATGAATCCACACCAGTCCCTTCCCATAGACAACATAGAAAGGCCCAGGTCCCAGAAGTATCAAGGTCTAATGCTGCTTTAGTATTTGTCACTCCTTCAACCCAGTGAAATAGAGCAGCTGTGCCATTGTGGGAGTCACTGGGATGGAACCAGCTGCTTCAGAGCTGGGCTCTGGAGTCTGATGGACTTGGGTTTGCGTTCCAGTTCCCTCTCTCAGCACGCCTGCATCTGGCTTCAGATTTGTAGCTTCTAACATCCTTCTATCCTGCTGCGGGGAAGGAATGTGCTGATCAGAAATAGGAGCATCAGGTCCTCCTGACAGTTGCCTTTCTTAGGTAAAATCAGTAAATATATGGGTTTGCATATTGAGCTCTGAGAATTTTATTAGCATGAGTCATAATCCCCGAGTTCAGTCAGCCCTGATGAGACCAGGTTGGTGAGGTGGCTGGGTATAGTTGGCCTCAGACACTTGGCGAATTCACAGAGGTAAAGATGGCCCAGAAGACCTCTGACAGCCAGACACCCAATCTCTTGTGGTGATGGCCTTTCTTTCTAATTCCTAATTCCTAAAGTTTGAGTTAGAAAAGTTCATTGCCACAATCTGCGAAATGAGTTCAGGAGCCTGAGGAAATCATGCTGCTTTCTTAAAGATTGGATCTCAACTGGACCTGCTTTGTAATACTTTTTTTTGAAAGTACAGCTGTCTTCACCCACTACTTCTCCTCCTCTTAAAACATAAATGCAGGCTGGGTGTGGTGGCTCACACCTATAACCCCAGCAATTTGGGAGGCCGAGATGGGCGGATCACTTGAGGTCAGAAGTTTGAGACCAGCCTGGCCAACATGGGGAAACCCCGTCTCTACTAAAAATACAAAAATTAGCCAGGCGTGGTGGTGGGCACCTGTAATCCCAGCGACTCCAGAGGCTGAGGCCAGAGAATCACTTGAACCTGGGGGGCAGAGGTTGCAGTGAGCCGAGATTACGCCACTGCATTCCAGCCTGGGTGACAGAGTGAGACCCTGTCTCAAAAAACAAACCAAAAAACCAAAAAACTTAGATGCAGTAGGGCTTAGTTGAGGTATCTGCAGGTGTCATGTACTACACCACACTGGTGACCATAGGGAGCTGCAGGGTAGGGGGCCCACATTCTGAGAAGGGGCTGAGGAAGACCTCAAGGAGGAGAGGATGAGGTCAGGCTCAGGGCCGGGTCAGATGCCGGGTTCTCAGGACAATGCCCCCACTTCTTCCTTTACTTTCTTGCCAAATGTTTCATGACCCTTGGTGACTTTCTTTCTCAGCCTGTCTCTGGAATTTATAAATGTCGAAGTTCACCAAGACTTTTTACGAAACTCTGGTTATATTGGCCCACAGTGACACTAAAAAGTAAAAGTGAATATTTCTGTGAGTTTGTGCTGCTGCAACTAATTTAAAACGAGCTTAGAGGATGTGTTAAGTCTTTCTCTTTGAGACTTGCATGTGATGTTCTGCCCCCTCTTGGCCAGTGAGCCCAGAACTAGGGGAGCCCTCAAGAGGCAGGGGCTGCCTGGTCAGGCATTGCTATAGCGTGGCCCTGGTTCCCCAAGTCCTGTTGTTTTTGGCAGTGGCTGTACACATCTGCCGAGTGAGTCATGATCATTTTTGTGATACATCCTGAGAATTTCCAGTGTTACTTAATAATGAAATTCAGGGAAATAGGGTTAGACTTCAGGAAGTAAGTACTTTTCAAGTACAATCTAATATTTTCATATATGAGTTAATTTCTTATCAAACTGTAACCAATTTTTGATGTTGGAAGTCTACAGTCTAAACCAGATGACAGTTAAGGCTTTGTAGTTTGTCTTTATCAAAGTCCCTACTGTGGCCACTTTATCACTGTCTTTATCAAAGTCCTCACAGTAGGGACTTTGATAAACTACAAACACCTAGCTGTACACCTGGCTTAAAGTGTAGATTTACAACATCAAAATTGGCTAAAGAGCCTCATGTGGTCTGGCCGCTACTACCTCTTGCCTTTTCTGTCTTCCCCTTTTTTTGCCTTCACACACCTTGGTCTCCTTGGCCTTCCTTAGACCCACCAGGCATGCCACCACCTCAGGGCCTTTGCACGTGAGGTTACCCCTCCCTGGATTGCACAGTGGCTGAACATCAGTGAGGCCTTCTTTGATCACTGACACTCCCCACAGCCCCTGTACTTTCTACTGCTTTTGCCCTGCTTTATCAATAGAATGGGTCACCATCTGATACTCTGTTTGTATATTTATTTATTTGTTTAGTCTGTCTCCTTCCATTAAAATGGAAGTACTATGAGGGCAGGGACTCTGTCTCTGTTGTTCCCTGATGTATCACCAGGACCTAAAACAGTTCCTGGCATGTAATAGACAGTTAACATAAATGTGAATGAATGAATCATTGAATTTTTTCCACTTAGAAAGGACTTTTTAGATCGTTAACCAACCTTATTTATAGATTGGGAAACTGAGGCACAGAAAAGTTATATGGCTAATTCAAAATAAAACCATCATTTAAGCTTTTTTTTTTAAAATCTTGACATATATATAGCACATTCTGGTCAGTTATCCAGGATGAGAAAAGACTGAGTGAAAATAGACCACTAACTTAAAATTTGAGCAAGAAGAGACAAGCTGCTGTGAGATGGGAAAGCTTTCTGATATAGAGGCAGAGTTTTGTTCCTTTCTGTAGCATATGGTGCACCTTGCACATACTTAGTGCTCAAGAAAAACATGTTGACGTAATGTGGTTATATTGTTAAATCCATTCTTTCTGCACCACTCTTTTCCCCCCAGTTTCTCTCCAAAAAATAGATAATTGCTCATGTGACTTCTCCTTCAAAGTTCTTCTAGTTACAAGTATCATATTTAATAGGTTTTTGTTTTATGAACAGCTAAAAGAATTGAAGAGATGACCTGGTTTCTTGGAAAATTCAGAGATATTTAATGCAGTTTCCCAGATGCATCCCCATCAAATAAAACAAAGAATTAATGTTTCTAGCTCTCTTATGAAAGAACCCAGTTGACAAGCCTTGGTGATATTGCTGGCCATGATGATTCTGACCTCAATGTTGTTTATGTTCACATAGACATCCTTGGAATTTTACTTTTGACAAAAATATTGTTTATAAGTAGCATGATGTTTAGATACACAAAAGTTAGTTTGGGAGTAGGGCCAATTAATTTCTCTTTAAACAGAAATGAAATATAGCTAACCTTTTTAATGAGCTGCAGTGAACCTCAGAGATGCAGTGATAGTACTTTGACTTTAGAGTTGGAAGCCATGGCAGTTCAAGACAAGTATATTTCAGAAGGTGTAGGAAGAGAGGAAAACAGAAGGGCAAACCACATAAAATACAGGAGAAATCTTTTTCTCTTGTTTGCATAGACTTTTTAAATCCACTCTTAGGTGTCTTTAGATAGCCCAAAAAAAGGATTGGGGGATGTGCTGCCAGTACTTTAGACCATAGAGAGATGATTCTCAGTTGATCATCTGAAGGCTCTTTCAAGCTCTACAAGCTCCCCTGGAAACTGATATGTACCCCCAAAACAAACAAACAAAAAACAAATTCTCATCCTGTCCAGCCCACTACTGATAGTTCTGCTGCCTGGGTTTATTCCTCTCCTGTGCTCCTCCTCCTGCTGTGTGGAAATCCTGTGATTGCTTGTAGGGTCCATTAATACTATGCCTCTGTCTGTATCATAAGGTAATTAATTATAATATTTCACTATCATAGGAAAATTAAACTTTGATAACACAAGTAGCAAATTCATAGATGTATATATTCCAAAGATGAGATGGAGACCCTAAAAGGTGAATCTTATTTTTTCTGATCCTTGGCATTTAGCTTAAAGTAAGTCGACTGTTCCAAACATCTCTACAAATCTAGCTATGAGAGATAAACATCATCACATGGCACTCCTCTTGAATGCTACTGTTGAATCACTCCCTGTCAGCTGGGTGGGTGTATGGGCTGACGTGGTTTTCTAGCAAGAGTGATGGTTTAGCATCCATCCATATGCTATGTGCAGTCTCCCTCACAAAACCTGTTTACAAGGATTGCACCCAGGGTTCGGAATTTCTTTTTTTTTTTCTTTTTTCTTTTTCTTTCTTTCTTTGTTTTTTTTTGTTTGTTTGTTTTGTTTTGTTTTTTGAGACAGAGTCTTGCTCTGTTACCCAGACTGGAATGCAGTGGCACAATCACAGCTCACTGTAGCCTCAATCTTCCAGGCTCCAGCGATCCTCCCACCTCAGCCTCTCGAGTAGCTGGGACTACAGGTGTGGGACACCATGACTGGCTAATTTTTTCACTTTTTTGTAGAGACATGGTCTCGCTATGTTGCCCAGGCTGGTCTCAAACTCCTGGGCTCAAGCAGTCCACCCACGTTGGCCTCCCAAATTGCTGGGATTACAGGCATGAGCCACTGCATCAACCCAGGTTGATATTTCTAAATGCTGAAAGAAAATAGCTGCCAACCTAATATTTAAATTTTAATGTAGAGCTACTCATAAGCAAAGTGTACTGGCCCAAATAGGATTTTGTCCATGATTTAAGATAATCATCCCCTTTCCTTGCTATAATTCACTAGGCTCACAGTGCACCCAAGCATGGGGTCAAATTGTCGACAGATTTTAGGGCTGTCTGTCATTCACGTAAAGGGAAATGTTGTAGACCATATCTCAAGACCAAGTAGAGGCCAAAGGCAGTTTCAGTCTCTCCAGAGTTACAGAGCTGAGGCATCCACATTAATAGCTCAGTTAAGTCCCCTTGGAGATGAAAACATTTGATCAGCAGAGGTCATCTTAGTGTTACTCAGTTTGACCTGTCTGGCAGACAGGCAGTTTACAAAAGAAGAAGTTTAGATGCCTAACAGACAGATGGAAAGTTACTCAATTTAACTAGCTATTAAAGAAGTACCAAGATTGGCTTTTTAATGTCTCAACTTGGCAAAAGGTAAATATGAATTCTATTGCCTGGTTTGAGTACCTCCACTCACTGCCTCAGAGAAGGGTCGTAAAATTGGTACAGCCTTTTCCAGGCATCCTGGTGATATGCAAATCCTTTCACTCGGCTCTTTTCTAGGAACTGAAAGCTAGAAATTTATTTGAAAGAAATGATTTAAGGACCTACTAACGATGTGAGTATACAAGGCATCATTGTTTGAATGCTAGTACTTGGAAACAACCTAAGTATTTTAATAATAGGGAAATTGTTATATATCTGAAGGATAGATTTTTATGGTATAGTTTAAAGTGCTGTAAAATATCACACGATTGTCCTATTAAGATATTTGAGGTTTATTGTTGAGTGAAAAAAAGCAATTAGCAAAACAATGTGAGGTCTAGTGATTTTTTTTTTTTGAAAAATTCAAATGCGTTTAAAAGTCATGGTAAATGAAACTGTAAATCATGGTATTACAAAGGATTTTATTTTGTTCTTTTTGCTCACCTGCATTTTCTGTTGTTGCTACAGTGAGCATCTATTTCTTTTATTTTTTTCTTTTTCTGTTTTTTTTTTTTTTTTTTTTTTGCGATGGAGTCTCGCTGTGTCACCCAGGCTGGAGTGCAATGGCACGATCTTGGTTCACTGCACCCTCCGCCTGCTGGGTTCAAATAATTCTCCTTCCTCAGCCTCCTGAGTAGCTGGGACTCCAGGTGTGTGCCACCATGCCCGGCTAATTTTTGTACTTTTAGTAGAGATAGGGTTTCACCACCTTGGCCAGGCTGGTCTCAAACTCCTGACCTGAGGTGATCCGCCCATCTCGACCTCCTAAAGTGCTGGGATTACAGGTGTAAGCCACTGCGCCTGGCTGTATCTATTCCTTAGTGTAATATTTTTTAAAGTTACCACCACCCAAGAAGATGTGGTTCAGTAACAAATTTGGTATCCTGCTGAGATTGGAAAGGGAGCTGGGGATGGGGTGGGAAGGGAGGGCCCCCCTTGGATTAGTGTGTTTGACTTGAATGAGGTGTGGCACTGTTCATCTAAGGCTAAATTTGAGCCATTCAGGGATTCTCTTCACAGCTCTTTCTCTCTGTTGGTGAATATCAAAGGACATATTGAGGGGAGCAAAGTGGACTTTATCTGGAGTTATAGTCACAAATTTAAATACATCTTCACCAGTCATTATTAAAGAAAGATCTGCATTTGTAGTTCC
The DNA here is from genome assembly GCF_000001405.40 of Homo sapiens. Classification (NCBI taxonomy): domain Eukaryota; kingdom Metazoa; phylum Chordata; class Mammalia; order Primates; family Hominidae; genus Homo; species Homo sapiens. Next base: position 32,400,617 of record NC_000009.12, read on the forward strand.
AGGAACTTTACGGACCATTCTATCTTTCTTTCAAAGGGTATTGCTGAAGATGTCAAGTTCTCATTTTATAGAGATGCTAATGTAGGTATTTATGTACAAAGTTTAAATGACCGCTCCAGTGTTTTAAGAAGTAAGTAGTAAATGAATGCATGCTTATCAAAAATAGAATTTGAATAATACAGGAGTATGAAACATAGAAAGCTAAAGTCTCCCCTTTATACAATGTGTTATTCTATTTGTAATCCATGTTAACTTTATGTCTTTCTTTTTTGTGCATTTGCATATGCAATGGTGTGTGTGTATGAATGAATATACACTAATGGTCTTGAAGTTTTTTTTTTTTTTCACTTAAATCAGATCCTAGTATATACATATATATATTATTTTGCAACTTTAAAATTCTCATATCATTTAATGTGAGCCTTTACTAACATTTTGTATCTTGAATCTGAGTAAGGGATTGTATACGCAATATTATATCAGGAAAATTGATTTGCCCTTACTGTGGCTTTTGGAAAAAAGTGGCACCCAGGGCAGATCATCAGAAACCTAAATTTAAGTTGTTTTTCCAAAGTTTAGCTGTCAGTTCTCTGGAATTCTGAAACACATGGAAGTTTTAGTAAGTGATTATAGAACTAACATCACAGAAGCACCAAAAGACTGTGATACACCTAGGTAGTACTTTTTTCAACTCTACCTGTGAAAGATTTTAAGGGTTTTTTTTTTCCCCCTGAGGGAAATTTGCATTTCACTGGAGGGCAAATCAGCTGTATTTTTTTTTTTTTCTGGTTATCCCACTAATGAGTCCTGTGACCCTAGGCAGTCAGTTGCTTTTCAGGGCCTCTCTGTCTTCCTCTGGGGAATGCTACATGATTGCTAAGGTTCTTTACTAAAAACTCAACATTCTATGTCTCATTACCTCCTTAGCACCTAAGGTCAAGGTGTCCCTAGGGAATGGTGACAGGTTGGTGCCATGCCTTAGTGCCATGCTATGTATGCACAAAAGGTGCTACTCCAAGGCACCTGCAAGTGTCCTCAATTGAGCCAAAGGTCAGTTGGTAGCAAGACTGTGGTTGGGGAAAAACCCTAGCTCTTCACTCCTCCCACCCTTTTACTGGGAGCATGGCTCATTTGTTAAATGTCTTACCCTAGTTCTGCCTGCCTTTGCATAATATTTGTTATTTTTTAGTGACCTACTTTAAAAATCTGGTGTTCAGACTGTCCATGCCCACCCCCGTTCTTGCATGCAGAGTGTACCTGTGCTAATCATAACCCTGTACAAGTCACCCAGCTAGTATTTCAGGATGGGTTAGCTTTGAAAGACACTGTTTCTCTACCAAATAATTATCTTGACTTTCAGAATGTGAACTACATGTAATGAAGGGTTTCAGATACAGTAGCTCCGTTTTTATTCCTTTTGTTTAAGAACTGTTCATCTGTCTTCCTTGATTCAGTGGCCAGGGACAAGTGTTCAGCTGTCTTCATCATTCTGACAAGCGTCCCGGAGGGACAAGTTCTGAATAATTGCTCCCACCTTGTACCTTAAAAGATACCATTTCCCATTCCTTCCTTCTTTTTTTTTTCTTTTTTCTTCTCCTCTTTTCTCTTCTTGCCACCATGTAGTATCATCTCATTCTATAGAACAAAGAAAGCAGCAACCCCAAATAGTGTGATATATGCTAACTCTTCCCTCTTTCAAAAAAGAAAAACACCATATATATTTAGATACTCTGCCATCTCCAAAATGTCCACATTCATTGTCTTCGTTTGTTCATTCCTATCTTTTATTGTTGAATGAAGATCAGATAAAACAGAAAAGAGCCAAGAACAAAGTAGCAGGAGGAGAGAGTGGGAGATAAGAAAGGAATTGAAACAGTGGGACCTGTGCTTTATGTGGATGTGGGACATAGGGAGGGCTTCCTGGCCAATGGTGGGGTTCCTAGATGAAACCCCAGATCTTGGAGGTATTTTTAGAGCCTGAAGGACCAGTGATAATACTCAAGGATTAGGGATGGGATGAGTGTCTGGCCAGGGAAAGGTAGGCTTAGGAGGTATGATGCCTGGATTCTTCTCTATATCTGGACCCATTACCCAGCCAAAGATCTTTCTTCTCACACCTCTTTGAAACATGATTGTTTTTGGCTTTGTCTTGGAGTTACTAAACCAGGAGATTTGAGACAAGAATGATAGTATGGGTGGAACCTTGAAGTGGCTCCAAATTCCGGAGTCCTCTAGGCTTATATGGAGGGCCTGTTTTCCAAACAAAGCTAGTCTTTGGTTGCTGAAATGCAGCTGCTATTACTTTCTACTGACCTGTGGCTCAGCACAAAGTGGCAGGAGACAGGTGACAGTGCCTGGCTCAGACCTGGTCTTGGGGCCCCCTGGAAAGAAGTAAAGGCAACTCCAGCATTCAAAGTTGAGTCTCTTGTGAGAGGATTTCCCATGACTTTCCCAGCTTTAGGGGCTAGTGGGTGACCTCCAACAGCAGCATCGTCAGAACAGGGTGGCTGCACCTAGAGAGGTGGTGTTGGGTGGCAGAAAGAGCCAGGGTTTGAAACCTAGCTCTGCCTCTTACTGGATGTATGCCGTTACGCAAGGTTTTTCATCCCTCTGAGCTGCGGTATGCTTATCTGTACAATGGAAATAATGATAGATTTCATTTACGGAGATGTTGCCAGGTAAAGAAGATGGTGTAAAGCACTTGGCATGTGCTGGTATAACTAACTGGTTCTTCTCTTCCCTTCTGCAGATAGAATTTACTTCCTTCATATAGTGAAACTAGACAGTTATCTAGCTTCCAAGGAAAAAGGGAGGCAAATGGTAGTGCACTTTAAAACAAGCCATTTTCTCCAAGAGCCACCATATTGGTCACTATATCCATCCCAAAAATACCAACTGACTTTGTAGGGTGGTGGGAGTAGCAGGAATCATGTGAGGCTTCTTGTGTTATGCCCCAGACATTTGTAGCTACAGGGAAGTAAATTGACACATTTGGTCCCCACTGCATAATGGCAGATAATAAGTACAAGTTAACAACTGGTTTAATCCAAAAATTTTGGGAGACTTGGGGCATCTGGCTCCTTTAGGATTCGACACAGAGATAAGGATGATTCAGACACTTAAGGCCATTGAAAGAGGTGAATGACCCATCTTGCTCAGTCCCGTGAGCGTTTCCCACCACTTCCCCTGCCTGCAGAGACTCTGGCCTCTGTTGAGATAGTCTTCTGTTTTTCCAGGCAGGCAAAACAGCAGTTTTATTGTTGCAGTTGCTACTGTTTGAGGGTGAAAAAGGTAAGTCTGGGGAGTATAGCATGGGTGACAAATGAAAGGGAGAGTAGCACTGTTGCCTTTTTAAATATATTCAGAATTTCAGCCAGTGGAATTATTAGTTTCATTTTCTGAGCCCACAGATTTGTAAACTTCTCCTTCTGCAGATAAGCTAGCAGGTTTCTTATTTATAGGGCTTTCCCCTCTCCTGATTGGCTGCTCATTGAGTTAGAATTAGTCACAAATCTCTTGAATTTGTGTGGCACTTTATCCTATATGCACTCTCACCTCAAAAACTAAAGCCACCATCTTCCCTCCAAAAGCAGTCCTAATAGCCTTCAATTCTCCATGCCTGGAGTTAAACCTTATTTCTTCTCCCCATAGATTTCCCCCCATTCACCCAGCAGCCATTTTCTCTAAATTTTGCCTCTTCAGCTTTTAATCCCTCCGCCCCTTTTTTCCATTTCAGTTTCTGCCATGCACTTGCCCGCCTGGTTACCTGCCACCTCTGGTCGAATAGGGCCCACAGGTGTGTTTGGTTTTGCCATCATGCCACAGATCCACACAGTTTAGAAAAAATTAGTTGCCAACTTTTATAAGCCAAGAATTCATATAAAAATCTAGATTACCAGTCTCACTTGGAAAATTAGATGATCTCTCAACACTGGGCAAGCATTCCTTCATGCCCTCTCGGCTGGAGCCAGGTGGCCTCTGCCCCCTTAGATGGGCACAGATCACCCAGGCTCTTTAGTCCCTGTACAGCCTGCCTCACATACACAGGTCTCTTCCTGAGCCCTGGAGGCATTTTGATTGTGACTCCCATTTTAGAATGTGCCCTCCCTTTTTCCATATCTTCTGTGCTGCCTCTCTGCTTCCTGAATTAAGTTTTAAGTGCCTCACCTGGTGGCACTCCACAGTGCCCACCAATGATTCTCAAGCTGAACGTGTGTCAGAATCACCTAGAAGCTTGAACAGGTTCAATGGGTGGGGAGGGGATACTCAGGAATCTATATTTTTAACAAGAAAGAACCCTGGATAATTCTAATGCAGATGGCCTAGGGTATATACCTTTATAAACACAGTTACGGTGTATTCCAGTAGCCTTTGCTGCCCATTCTTTAGTTTCAGTTTCAGAACTCCCAGAGAAGGAAGTTGATTGGGCCAGATTGGGTCAGACACCTTTCCTCTCTCCCAACAAATGGCAGCTGCTGCATACAGCATGTGAGACGTAGTTCCCAGGAAAGAGGCGCTGGGCAAACAGCCTGGCTGTCTCCTCTTCAGTGTCTTGCGCCCGTTACCGGTACCTGTGGCGTGTCCTGTCGCCTCCTGCACTAGCAATCCAGGAAGACACAGGCTGCTTCTCAATCAACTGCTTCTCCCCAAAACTACCTCGTACCTACCAGACTTTGGACAGAGGAGTTGTGCAAATGTCTATTTCTTTTAAATTTTTAACTATTTTTTTTAAAGTTCAGTGTGTACATAGTTAAAAATGCAAACAATACTAAAAGAAACATAGTAAAAACTAAGCCTTCCTCCCAGTCCTGATTTCTAGGTCCCAGACCTCTTAAAAAAAGAATTTAAATGTTCTCTTTTCTTTTCAGGAACACGTGGCCATCAGTAATCATGAGCAACCCATTCGCACACCTTGCTGAGCCATTGGATCCTGTACAACCAGGAAAGAAATTCTTCAATTTGAATAAATTGGAGGATTCAAGATATGGTAGGTACATGGCTGTGATAGCAATTGGAATCTCATTTGCACAATGATTAGGCTATGTAATTAATTACACTTGAGGAGAGTTTGAAGAGGGAGTAGCAGAGAATGGGTGAATGTTCTTGGATTAAGTGCACAAGCACTCACATGCCTTTCCTACATTAGTCATTTTTAAGTAGGTGATAATGATTACATACATTTGACATTTATATAACACTTTATAGAGTATACATTTGTATCGTATCATTTAATCTGAATAACAACCCTATGGGGTCATGTTTATAAAATATAAGAGGTCCTGAGGAAGCTAAGGCCCAAGAGTCAATGACACATGCTCAGATCACAAGTATGTGGGTTGTAGACAAGCAGGACAAGAACACAGTCTTTTTTATTCCAAATTCCGTCCTTTTTCTGCCTTTGCACTGTCTTTTCCAGATAAATTTCCAGATAGTATTGCTTAGTAATTTTCACATATCAAAATGGAATTTTTATAAATAAACAAAATCATTTTTCTTATGAATTAATATTGTTTTATTTTAGGAACTCCAGTTACCACTGGCCATGCTGCATAGTGTTTAGGGTTTTGTTTCCTTTGAAAGATGTACGTGCATATACTTTGGTCTTAATTACAATAATTGTAAAGGGGTTATTTTCTCATTTCTTGAGCATTAGTTTCATAAGGACTATTACTCTGTGTGTATATATACATGTATAAATATGTTACTTGTCAACATTTAACATAGGCTGCGTGTGTTGGCTCATGCCTGTAATCCCTGCACTTCGGGAGGCCAAAGCAGGCAATTGATTGAGTCCAGGAGTTTAAGACTAGCCTGGGCAACATAGCAAAACCCTGTCTCTACAAAAAATAGAAAAAAATTAGCTGGGTGTGGTGATGCTTACCTATAGTCCCTGGTATTTAGGAGGCTGAGGTGGGAGAATCACTTGAGCCAGGGAGTTTAAGGCTGCAATGAACTGTGATCACACCACTACACTCCAGTCTGGGTAACAGAGTGAGACCCTGTCTCGAAAACAAACAAAACACATAATACAATAAAAATCTAGACTGATGGTGAGATGTGATGACTTAAGGGAAACTGTCTGTTGTTGGAATCCAGGACAAGACAACCATTTAATACCAAAGAATAATATTTTATTTTGGCCTTGTGTGTAGTGTTTTCTACCACTGAATATCTCTTTCTTTTTTGAAACAGAGTCTTGCTCTGTCGCCAGGCTGGAGTGCAGTGGCATGGATCTTGGCTCACTGCAACCTCTGCCTCCTAGGTTCAAGCAATTCTCTTGCCTCAGCCTCCCCAGTAGCTGGGACTACAGGCACACGCCACAATGCCCAGCTAAGTTTTTTATTTTTAGTAGAGATGGAGTTTCACCATGTTGGTCAGGATGGTCTCGATCTCTTGACCTCATGATCCGCCCGCCTCAGCCTCCCAAAGTGCTGGGATTACAGGCATGAGCCACTGTGCCCAGCCCTGAATATCTCTTAAACCCATTAAATATCCATGTATTTTAAACTGTTGGTCACTTTACCCTCTTTCCTTGTGGAAGAATAGTCTGATGCCTCATATCAACTTTATATAGAGATTGGCCTTAAAGAGCGCTCTTAAGTTGTCTCACAGGTTTTGTTTATTTTGTCATCCTTAACTCTTAGGGCGCTTACCATTTTCGATCAGAGTTCTTCTGGAAGCAGCCATTCGGAATTGTGATGAGTTTTTGGTGAAGAAACAGGATATTGAAAATATTCTACATTGGAATGTCACGCAGCACAAGAACATAGAAGTGCCATTTAAGCCTGCTCGTGTCATCCTGCAGGACTTTACGTGAGCCTAATGTCACTTCACTCTCCTTTGCCTCCCTCATTAGCCTTTCAAGAAAGTTTTCTTTTAAACAAATGAAAACACTCTGCAATGACTATATACTTTATTAATTTATGACTATATAATATTATATACCCATATCCAGACACTTTTGAAAGCTAAGGGTGTCATTGCCCCCAGCAGCAAGAGGAAACCAGGATTGTGTCCAGCAAACTGAAACACGCCACTTTTTCTAATAGGAAGGGTCATTATCCTTGCTCTTAAAGATCCTAGTCCTGAGTATCTTAGGGAAAGGTCAAAGAAATAGCATGGAATAGAGCCATCTTGGAATCTTTTCTTTCCCACATTGTATTGCCCAGGAAACCAGGTGTGTCAAACACTTGTACTTGAAACACTGATGTGCTGTCTGCAGAGGGGAGATGATGTAGCTCACATCACAAGTCTTGACCATAACTGTTAAGCCTCAGTTCTCATCTTGCTATTTTTAGATATCCTTGCTCCCCATTGCAGCATCTTTGTTGAGATACTATATTTCCATTTTTAATTGATGTTATTTTATTCCTTCTAGAGACCCAGTTTCATTTTTCTAGAGGAAGATCACCAAAATGTTATACTTTTAAGCGAAAAAGAGAGATTCATTTAACATGAATTTGATTCACAGCCAACTTTTCTGAATTATATCCATTCCTTGAAATCTGGTCAAAACTGAAAAGGTGTGATCTGAAAGTCTTCTCCAGGTCTTTGTCAAGCCACCATGTGAATGGGAAGCACTCACAGCAGTAAGAGTTCCAGAGTTGTTAAGTGCCAGCTTTCCCATCATTGCTGTATTTAGAACATAGCCGTTATTAAATTTAATACGGTGATAACATTGTACATAGAGATACCACCCAGTCATGGTACTTACTACCTATGTGATTTCTGCCTGAGGAAATACGCTTAGAAACTTTCACTTTTCTAAGTCTCACCCATTGTTAGCTCCTCTGATGAGGTAGGGCCTTGTCAATATTATCAATGGAGGCAAAAGCTGAAAAATCCAGTTACACACATTTAAGGCTTATTTTCTGCATTATTCTCTTTCTTCTCTTAGGGGTGTGCCCGCTGTGGTTGACTTTGCTGCAATGCGTGATGCTGTGAAAAAGTTAGGAGGAGATCCAGAGAAAATAAACCCTGTCTGCCCTGCTGATCTTGTAATAGATCATTCCATCCAGGTTGATTTCAACAGAAGGTGAGAGATTAAAACGAATACCTGAGTGTTCTGCTTTGTGCAAAATCTTTGAACACGAATCTTTTTAAAATGTGTATATGTAGTTAAAGAAGAAAATCTTTCAAAGATATCTTCTGAAAAACTTAAACTTCATATACATTTCGCAGTAAAGATGTTTTAGGGGGAAGAGTGGGTGGATTTTTCTTTTAATCTTTTTTTATTTGTTTTTACTTCTTGGGTGGGAGCAGCCTGCATTTGAATCTGACTTGAAGTCTAGGTGAAAACACACACACATGAAGTTCTGCCATGAGAGCTTGTCAACACAAGTATATGTCAGTGCAAGTATATGTTTGAGCTTTTTCATCCACTGGAAGCTTACTCCTTTTTTTGATCCCAAGTAACTGTTGCATATCTAGCGATCTCTGCCTCTTCACGTGGGTTTCCATAATGCCTATCCCTTTCTTTCCCTGTGTTTCTTCTTTTGTTTGGGACATCCTCTCCTCTGTTCCTGCCAAATCTTACCTGTCCTTCAAGGCCAGCTTAAATCTTATTCTGTTAGGAATCCTTTACTTTCCAGCCTACGAAGCTCCCTGTTCTTCAGTTTGCCAGATGATTTAGTGTCCTGAGTGGGCCTGTAGCCCTTGAAGGGAAGTTGTCACTTGAGTTGACTTGGTAAGTAGACTCTCAGCTCCCTGAATGCAAGAGCTGAGCAGATAAATAGGCATTTAATATCCTAAATTGAGTGACCTTGAAATTATTCTTCGATTAAGTGAGAATCTTGGTAAGCCTGAATATAGACACCTAATGGTCTATGACACCTTTAGGTGGGGAAAAACTAAACAACTCTGAGGATAGGTTTTTTGTTGCTGTTTTTGTTTTTTTAAATCCATCCCCACATCCTTAGCATCCAAAGGTGTGCATATTAAAATGTCTTCGTTGGCCACGTGCAGTGGCTCATGCCTGTAATCCCAGCACTTTGGAAGGCTGAGGCAGGAGGATCGCTTGAGCCCAGGAGTTTGATACCAGCCTGGGCAACACAGGAAGACCATATCTCTACAAATAACTTTTTAAAAATTAGCCATGTGTGGTGGTGTGTGCCTGTGGTCCCAGCTACTTAGGAGGCTGAGGCAGGAGGATCACCTGAGCCCAGAAGGTTAGGCCATGCATACCAGTTGGGTGACAGAGCGAGACCTTGTCTTTAAAAAAAAAAAAATCTTAATAAAATGTGTTACAAAGAAGAGAACTGAACATGTGAATATGCAGTTGTGAACTAGCAACTTAGGCCTGACCTCTTAACAAACTTTGAAAGTGAATACTTCTTAATCAAAATATGTGTACCATTTGTAATCCTAGCCCATTGAAGAGATGACTAAGTTTTGTGAGGTTAGGAGCCAAGTAGTAATGGTCAATTTTCCTGACTCAGTTTATTTTAATGAGCTTTTATCCCTAAATCTCACTCTCTAAAAGCCTTTGGTTTACGTTGGAAGTATTGGGAGTGAGTCTTTGGGTTAAAATGGCATCAGGATATTAAACATTGTTATAAAGCCCCAGTCTTTTGTAAGATACACAAAAAGGCATAGAAAATAGTAGAATCTAAGAGAAGCACTTAGTGATTTGATAAGGCCTATAAGAGTAGAGTACCTGATGGCCGGGCGTGGTGGCTCACGCCTGTAATCCCAGCACTTTGGGAGGCTGAGGTGGGCGGATCACAAGGTCAGGAGATCAAGACCATCCTGGCAAACATGTTGAAACCCCATCTCTACTAAAAATACAAAAAAAAATAGCTGGGTGTGGTGGTGGGCACCTGTAGTCCCAGCTACTTGGGAGGCTAAGGCAGGAGAATGGCGTGAACTGGGGAGGCAGAGCTTGCCATGAGCAGAGATAGTGCCACTGCACTCCAGCCTGGGCGACAGAGCAAGACTCCGTCTCAAAAAAAAAAGAGTACCTGATGAAGTTAAACTTGAAAAAAAAAGAATCTAGTCATCTTTGCCCTTTGGCTCAAAATGGTAATCAACAGATGGGAATGAAGTCAGAAGAAACTCTACCATTTGTCCTTTTCTCCAAAAGGCAGAATTTGTACCAGCCAAAACCGTGAAGATTTCAATGTAGAGATGGGTGTAAAAAAAATCAGCTATTGCTGTATAACAGTCCCAGAATCTCAACAGCAGTCAACAGTAAGAATTTATTTCTTACACATCTTCTAGTTGTTTGGGAGGTCAGCTGACCTAGGTGAGCACAGTCAGGAAGCTCTGCTTTGCACTGCAGTAGCCAGGTTGGGAGCTTACACTGAACCATACATCTGCAGGGCAGCCGGGACAACTCTGTTCCATGTGTGTTTCTTTTGGGGTCCAAGCTAAAGGAGAAAGCAGCTGTCTTGTGACCACAGAGACTCAAGGGGGCAAGTGAAAACACACAGTATCTCTAAGGCCTAGCTAAGGACCAGCACAGCATCACTTCTGTTCACGGTGCCATTGATCAAAGCAAATCACATGGTTGAGCCCAAAGCTGGAATGGGGAAATACAGTCCACCCGTCTTCGGTGGAAGTAACTTCAAGATTACACCACAAGGGTTTTGATACAGGGAGGGCAATCAGGTATTTTTAAGAGGCTATTATCTTAACCTAGAAGTATGACTACCTAAAGTTGTCAAAACAACTATCAGTGGGAGAAATAACTTTTCCATATACAGTGCTGGAAATTGATTAGTGGAGGGAGCAGTTCTTATGAATGTTTAAAAGTTTTAGAAGGAAATGTATGCGTGTCAGATGTCTTGATGAGACTAAATTTAGAAGCAACGAATGAAACACGGAAAAAAGGTATAGATTTAGTTACTGCAAAGTTAAGAGAAAATAACTTGAAAAATATGGCAAAGTGTTAATATACTTAATATATGGAGTGTCTATAATCCATTTAGAAAAATAATAGGTCCCTGAAGATAAATGGGCAAAGGAAAGTGGACATTTCATAATAAAAGGAAATGCAAATGGTAGTAAACAGTATATAAAGGTTTTTCAATCTCACAAGGAATAAAAAAGTAAATATTTGAGATGTCATTTTCTTATCAATATAGTTGAGATTAGAAAATATTAATTATGAAGGTGTTATAAGGGAGACACTTTTATACACTGCTGATAGCACTATAAATTAGAAATGAGGATTAAAGCAATATGTGTTAAGACCTTAGAAATTTCTATATCCTTTGTCCTGGAATTCCTACTTCCAAGCATACCCTTTATATCATTTATTTATTTATTTATTTATTTTTTGAGACAGGTTCTCACTCTGTTCCCTAGACCGGGGTGGCGTGATCACAGTCCACTGCAGCCTTGACCTCCTGGGCTTAAGCAATCCTCCCACCTCAGCCTTCCGAGTAGCTGTGATCACAGGCATGCACCATTACATCTAGCTAATCTGGATAGCTGACTTCAGAAAAAGCTTAATGGCCAATAATGTTTATTAAAGTATTATTTATAAATGAAGCCTAGAAACATTCTAAATGTCCAACAAAAAATGCTTTATTAAATTACGGTATACCCCTGAAGTGAATCATTAGGTAACCTTTAGAGTTTAATTTATGAAGTCTTTAATAACACTTGGAACATGATCACATTGTAGCTCAACGAGCGAGATGCTACATTGCATATGTAGAGTGACATAAGCTACATGGAAAATGATGCAGGAATTAAAAGATTGGAAAGGGTGCCAAGTTGCTAAGCAGTTATCTCAGGGATTGCAACTGTCTTCATTTTCCTAATAAGAAGCTATTATTTTTATAATTAAGTCACTTAAGAATATGAAACCACTCAACGGGAAACAAAAACACCTTTATTTGCTTCCTTGGGGATGTAACTGAGTTCCTGGCAGCCTCAAAAGAAATTTAGAAAATGATCTTTCTCCAGTTAATATTGCTAACATCCAAACCAGATAAATTCAGGATAAAGAGAAATCTACTTTGTCCCCTGAATTGATGGTACTTGGAACAGACCATGTACTCGCCAACTCTTCCCTTTCCTTTGGACTCTGAACCTGTCCTAAGGCAATATGTCTTCCCCAACCTTCCTTTTTTCCTAAATCACGTGAACTCAGTTTAATGTTTTGGTTTCAAATGGAAGAGTTTAAAATATATGCGTAAAATGTTATCCTGTTTGAGATAGGATAAAGACCCACTTCAGAAGTTAGGAAAGTAGCCATAAATTCATGCCCAGTTTCATCTTTCTTGGAGTCTTTCATTAATGTTGATGGGTTTACCTTCATTTTGCTTGCCTAGAAGGTGAAAGTACAGGTAGAGACAGAATTGTAATATAGTTTTCATGTCTAAACTCTATTGACTCAAAATTCAAAGAGCTCATGGCTGTTAATGCATCTTGAACTTGGGTCATCACCAAGTTCACTGTAATTTTTTTTTTTTAGACCTTGACTCTAATCAATTGTGGTTTCAGTTTTTTATAGACCTTTTTCATTTACACCATGTACTGAAAACATGAAAAACAGCAAAATCCAAGGGTGAACTTTGACCTAGATTGATAACCAAATCTAGCAAACCCACATGTATATATAAAATCAGAGTGAACACTAGCCGGGGCGGTGGCTCGCCCCTGTAATCTTAGCACTTTGGGAGGCCAAGGCAGGTGGATCACGAGGTCAGGAGATCAAGACCATCCTGGCCAACATGGTAAAACCATGTCTCTACTAAAATACAAAAAATTAGCCGGGCATGGTGGTGCATGCCTGTAGTCCCAGCTACTCAGGCGGCTGAGACAGGGGAATCGCTTGAATCTGCAAGGTGGAGGTTGCAGTGAGCTGAGATTGTGCCACTGCACTCCAGCCTGGCAACAGAATGAGACTCTATCTCAAAAAAAAAAAAAAAAAAAATCTTTTAGAAGTGTTTTTATTGGTGGTATTTTGTTTTTATTTCTTGAGTTGTGGTTTTGCAATTTAACCTCATGATCTCTCTCCTCATTTTTGTAAGGAATTAAATGTGATGTCTCAACTCTGTGAAACTGTGTGCTGTGGGCTAATTTCCAGCTCTTTCTGGAAATGAGTGAGAAAAACTGGGTAAGGGGTGGTAGAGTGGTAAATGTCTCAGTTAAATGTTTGTAAGCTCTTTGCCTAGTTTGAATAATACTAATTAGCTTCACACCATCTTTAGAAGTTGAAGTTCTAATACATTATTGTGATATTTTACAAAGTTACCTCACCTTTTTTTTTTGTTCCTCCAACAAGAATTTCATAACAGTGACTGGGCACGGTGGCTCATGCCTGTAATCCCAGCACTTTGGGAGGCTGAGGCAGGGGGATCATGAGGTCAGGAGATCAAGACCATCCTGGCTAACACGGTGAAACCCCATCTCTACTAAAAATACAAAAAATTAACTGGGTGTGGTGGCAGGCGCCTGTAGTCCCAGCTACTTGGGAGGCTGAGTGAGGCCCGGGAATGGCGTGAACCCAGGAGGCGGAGCTTGCAGTGAGCCGAGATTGCGCCACTGCACTCCAGCCTGGGCGACAGAGTGAGACTCCGTCTCAAAAAAAAAGAATTTCATAACATTTCTGACCAGATTTCATTAATGTGAAAACTATCTCCATGTTAATACTGTCCGTGAATTTCTGGAGCTCCATTAAATGTAATTCTCAGAAACTGAACTACATTCAATTCTGAATTCAAATGAACTAAGAAATTTCCTCTTTAGTCCGTGAGGCCATTCACATTTAGAGACCTTATTAAAAGCTCACTAGATTAGACTAATTTAGGGAAGTTCTGAGTGGTAGAAAATTCTGAATGCTAGGTCTATTCATTCCAGTAACTAGAACTAGGCTAATTGAGCCAAGCTCCATATAATAGATGTTTTGTTTTCCTGAGTAAATAGGGTTTTACCTGGAATTACTGTATCATGAAACAGTCTAAGCATTTCTGGCTTCTGCACGTCCTATGAACATGTCACTTCCATCAAACTGATACCCCCAGCATTTTCTGGGGTAAACATTCCTCCGTCAATCATCAGTCATGCTTCTGCTGTGAGAAGCTCTGCCATCCTCCTGGTGCTGGAGGGTGGAAGATCAGGGACAATGACTAGGAGTCCATAAGTGCTCACAGTATAGCAAAATAGATGGGGAGGAGAGGCAGGGGCCACATGTGGTTATAATCTTACCTGTAGTGGTAGAAATCAAGGTCAGAGATGCTTTCCTTTTTTAAAAAAATTAAATCCATTTAGCAGATCTATTATGTGCCAGTATTTATTCCAGAAACAGATTATAGTTTAGAAGGGGAGAGAAATTAGTGAACACACAGCTTTCATGCAGTTGATAAGTGTAGTCACCACAGAGAAGGGGCAAATCATCCTGACCTGGGGAGTCTGTGGGTTTTTCAAGGAGCGTCACCTGATCTGGATCCTGAGCCTGTTTACCAAGGAGAGAAGAGCTGAAAAAGACCTTCCACTCAGAGCAAATAGAGCATGCAAAGGCACGAGGAAAGTGGGGGTGGGAAGAGCATGCTGGCTACAGTGTAGCTGAAGCTGAGAGCTTGGACTGGAGGCTAGGAGAGGGCTTATAAAGGATGGCTGAGGTCAGGTTGAAGGACTTAGGTTTTTAAGACAAGGAATTTTTACTTTATAAGAAAATGGGAAGCCATTGGTAGATTCAGACTGGTGCATGATGATTTATATTTTAGAAATGATTGAGGTGACCATACCAAAGGTAGATTGAATGGCCTCACAGGGCAGCTGGTTGGGAGGCTATTTCTGGAATAAATATCTTGATAGCTATAGGTACTAAGTGGTGGGAAAAGAGCTCATTAGATATGGACAGACAGGGAAGAGGAACAGATTTAGGAAAGAAAGCCCAGCATCAGGGTTTGACCCATTGAGTTGATGGTGCCTGAAGTATTCTTGGTGCGCATGCCCGAAACACACTGGAAACATAGATCTGGACGTAGAGACAGGTGGGAACTGGAGTGATGGAGCCCTCAGCATACTATTAAGAAGGTCGAGATGAGTACCTTGAGGAGCAGCTGTGTCTCGTCCAGAGGGTCCACAGAGTCTGCTGATGCCGGTGTCGGTGCAGGTGTCCTGCCTTGTTCTGCTATCCCGGGGTCCCTCCTTTCTCTCCCTCTTTTGCTCTTCTCGAACATGTACACACACAAATAGACACTCATTCACTCAGGCAGGGATCAGCAGACTTTTTCTAGAAAGGGCCAATAGCAAATACTTTAGGCTTTGCTGGCCACATGCTGTCTCTGTCACATATTCTTCCCCCCAACACCCCAGCCTTTAAAAATGTAAAAATCATCCTTCATTTGAGGGCCAAGCATATATGGGCATTGGGTCACATTTGGCCCATGGGCTGGGTTGTAGACCCCAGCCCATGTTAGGCAGTCTCAGGAATTGATCCTACCTATTAAAGCAACCAACACTTGTCTTGGAGAATATTCATATCAAGAGAAAAAAAATCTGTGTGGTAACCAAATATGTTTTCTTTTTTTTTTTTTTTGAGATGGCGTCTTGCTTTGTCGCCCAAGTTGGAGTGCAGTGGCGCGATCTTGGCTCACTGCAACCTCCACCTCCCAGGTTCAAGTGATTCTCCTGCCTCAGCCTCTCGAGTAGCTGGGATTACAGGCGCCTGCCACCATGCCCGGCTAATTTTTATATTTTTAGCAGAGATGGGGTTTCACCATGTTGGCCAGTCTGGTCTTGAACTCCTGACCTCGTGATCTGCCCGCCTCAGCCTCCCAAAGTGCTGGGATTACAGGTGCGAGCTACTGTGCCCGGCTCCAGATGTGTTTTCTATGAGGTAAATAACACATGCTTCCGGTCCCTTTTTTCCCAAGGAGTGTCTGCCCATCTTGCTCGGGCTGACTCACCGTCATCCTTCAGACCACATTGATACCATGTCCTTCTGGAAAGCATTCCAATCCCCCCAACCCCCACCCCCAGGTGGGTTCATGGCCCATTCCAAGTGCTCCCGTACCAGGCAGTGATGATTGCATTCTTTTGCCATTGCCCTTTCACCAGACTCAGAGTGCCAGTGGGCAGTGAGCACACAGCTTTTGCACCATTGCATTTTCAGCATGTAGCATGTGGCAGGCTCTGGGGGAGGGGAGGATCAGAGTGAGTGAGAAGCAGAGTATCATGGTCAAGGTAGAAACCCCCAGGGCCAGTCAGACCTAGGCTCAGATAACAGCACTGTGTTATCGTCTAACTTTGGACAAATTTAACCTTTCTGTGCCTCAGCTGCTGCTTCTGGATATTGAGGATGACAGTAGTATTTACATGAGGGGTTGTGATGATAAGTTCACATGTGTAAAGCTCTGAGCGCCCACAACGTAATGTTGTCCTTTAGCTCTTGCTGTTACTGTGGTGGTGTTAACTACCACTGCCACCATTACTGCCACAGTCGCTGTTAACTATGACGGGAAGTCCATGTGGTATAGGGATTAAAGGATAGTGTCAACTCGGGAGTCAGACTGCCTGGGTTTCAATCCCAGTTCCACCACTGACTAGTGTCTGTGGTCCTGAGCAAGTTTCTTAACCTCTCTGTGTCTCAGTTTCCCCACTTGAAAAATGTGGCTATTAGTTGCACCTAACTCAAAGGGATATTATGGAGACTAGATGAGAAAATTAACACAAAGCATTTAGAATAGTTGCTGGTTCCTAGTAGTGTCAAAAAGTGTTAACTACTGGGTACTAGGAAGTAGTTATCCAGTACTTCATTTATTAATGAAGTCTGACTTTGGTCTTAGCTATTAATTTTACTAGCCTTTCCTGTGTTCACTCAATCCTATGATACATGCTTTATGAGCACATTCTGTGTGCTGAATCTGCGATCTTGTGACTATGACTTATTCTACCTTGACTCAAAACAATGCAGTTTGATTTTTAAAATCCTAGAAAATCTTGGTGCCCTGTGTTGTCCTGATGGACTGAATGACGTTGAGTAAATCTTAGCGTATAATCTGTGGTTCACAGATGTTATCAAGTGACACCATCTTCCTCATAAACCTTGGTCCTACACACAGGAGATTGTGATTCTATAAGGTACTGATCCTCTAAGCATTGCTAGTTTTCTGTCTCCCAACATAAAGAGATGAAAATACCAGCCCAGACACATTCCAGGTCAGAGAGATGTTATAATGAGGTCATGGATGAGGAGTATAGAAACAAGAGTTCTTTAAATGTCCAGGCTGCTGTTGTCATATGAATGTCTTGAGTCTGTTCCTAAGAGTCAGACTTTATGATTAGATTAGTTTTAACTTCAATTCAGTTCATGTTTTCTGCCTACCATAGTTAAAGGCATTGTAGGAATCACTTGAACCAAACAATAATTACTCTCTTTACTTTCACTAGTTACCTCTCCTATTCTGCATTGTAAATAGTCATGAATGAAATTCATATTATCACTCAGCAAGCAAGGAGATGCAATTCCATTTTGTTTCTTCATCACCAATAAATTTGACCACTAATATGTTAAGTCTCAAATTGTATACATTTAATTTTTCTCTCTGACAGGGCAGACAGTTTACAGAAGAATCAAGACCTGGAATTTGAAAGAAATAGAGAGCGATTTGAATTTTTAAAGGTATGGGCAGGGTCTGGTTCCATTGTTTGGTTTTCTTTGTAGGCAGGGTACGAGGGAGAGATGCCAAGGAGATGGGCTGAGTAGAAGTACTTCACGCGTTCATAGTGTTCTTTCCATTTGTCAATCCCAGTGGGGTTCCCAGGCTTTTCACAACATGCGGATTATTCCCCCTGGCTCAGGAATCATCCACCAGGTGAATTTGGAATATTTGGCAAGAGTGGTATTTGATCAGGATGGATATTATTACCCAGACAGCCTCGTGGGCACAGACTCGCACACTACCATGATTGATGGCTTGGGCATTCTTGGTTGGGGTGAGTGTTCTTCCATATATGCTGTTTTGGGGCATGCACTTTAATTCACTGTGATTCTATTACATCTCAGTAACATGAATTTACATGACCACAAGTTTCCGAGAGGTATGTTTGTCAGTTTTGTCACTGCTGTTTTTCCAGTGCCTAGAGAATCACTTTGCACCTAGCAGGCACTCAATAATTATGCTTGGAAGAATGAACAGAAGCAAGGGGTTAGGTACATTTAGCATACACAAAAATCACCTGGGGTGTTAAAAATAGAGACTCCCAAAGCTTACTCTTCTTTGCATGTGGCATCAAGGGGATTTTGATACAGGTGTTTGGGGGACCATGCTTTGAGAAACATTTGTTAAAAAATTCTATAAAGGAAAATGGAGAAAAAATAACTGCTCTTTATAGAAACATGACTCTGCACCAATTAAACGTTGTAACTGGGTTTATTACCTGTTAATGTCACTAAATTTATACCTGAGAGATAGAGTAAGGGGTAATGAAGGCATTCTTCCGGTCATGCCGTTCATTGCAGGTGTCGGTGGTATTGAAGCAGAAGCTGTCATGCTGGGTCAGCCAATCAGTATGGTGCTTCCTCAGGTGATTGGCTACAGGCTGATGGGGAAGCCCCACCCTCTGGTAACATCCACTGACATCGTGCTCACCATTACCAAGGTAACAATGTGCATCCTCTTCTGTGGTCTTGGAAAGCCACAATGATAGCTTTCCAATGGAGGGAATACATAATGGAATCTTGTTTGGTTTCCAAGTGCTCTAGCAATGCAAGGAAACAAGGTTGATGATTTTAAAAGGAGATGAGGTAAGGGAAGTGTTCTATGTTAAGTTTAGATCATTATGTTTGTTTTCTTCTAGTATTGCTGCATCGATCTTTTTCTTAAAGGAAATTTTTTAAACTGAAATAGTTCAATGATACAGAAATTAAGATGGCATTCATATGCCCACCACCTAGATTTAACAGATGATACCATTTTGTCATAGTTGCTTCAGAGCTCTCTGTGTTTTTAAAGAAATAATATGTAATATCTGTGGCTAAAGCCACATTCCCCATTTCTAGAAATAATCACTATCCTGAGGTTGTAAGAATCATTCCCATGCATGTGTTTATGCTTTCACTACATGTTTTCCACATGGTTCTTCCTTTTATGTAAATAGCAAGGTAGTTCCATGAATAGAGTTTTACTTTTTAAATTCTCTTCTCTGTATTATAAGTTACATTATTGTAACATATATGTCACCAAGCTGGAAAGTATTAGGCTTTTTCTGTAGCTGTTAGAGGAGACCATCTTTTTCTGTGATTTGCTTGTTTTGTAAAAAGGCCATTTCGTTTTGGAAGACTCTTGCAAAAGCAATGGTTTTTAATGATCACAAACATAATTTTTTTTGCTTTTATAGTTTGGAGGCTGGGGTCCTTTGCATGGACATGCTATCGTTAAAGTGCAAAACACATTTCTCTCTGATTTAATTTTTGTGAAATTTTGAATTGGATTTATTTGAATACCATAGCTTATCACAAATGTCTGTGCACTGTTCTTAAGATGTGGAATACTACAGGACTTCCTCACAAAATTTGGCAGAATTCCATATTACCAAAAGAGCCCATCTGTGTGGTTGTAGCTAGAAACTGGCTTTATGCAGAGCTAAGTCAGTCACTGTGGCCTCACTCCTGGCTGGTGCCTTGTGTGGAAAAGATATGGGAATCTTTTGGTTACATTTGACTTATACTTGTAGCATGAATTTTGCTCATTACGCCTTTGAAAAGTTATTTTCTTAACTAGTGCAAGTAGTTATTTAGGTTGAAAGAATTTAATATGTAGCACTTCCAGACGCTTCCAATGATCTCATTAGAGAAAGAGAATGTTTCTCATCTTGAAATATTTTTCTTAATATCATTTGTATTTTGGGCACACTTTGTCTTTCTTTTTATAAATAAAAACTATTTGACATCATCTTAGATTTATGGGAGAGTTAGTATAAAGAGTACAGAGAATTCCTGTTATCTTTCTCCCAGCTTCCCATAATGTTAACATCTTAAATAACCATGGCACATTTATCGAAACTAAGAAGTTAACATTGGTGTGGTACTCTTAACTACAGACTTTACCAGTTTTTTCAGTAATGTCCCAGAATTCTGCTCCAGAATCCAATCCAGGATACCATGTTGCATTTAGTTGGCATTGTTTTTTAAGTTTTGAAAGTGATCACAAATGTGTTGGGCTGATTTACTATTTGGGTTTACTGACAAGACTAGTTTATAAGAAGTGCAAGATGGTAGTTCTGCATTTTGAATGTGGGCCATCAGATCTCAAACTTTTCTGTTGTTTCTGCTGCTTAGCACCTCCGCCAGGTTGGGGTAGTGGGCAAATTTGTCGAGTTCTTCGGGCCTGGAGTAGCCCAGTTGTCCATTGCTGACCGAGCTACGATTGCTAACATGTGTCCAGAGTACGGAGCAACTGCTGCCTTTTTCCCAGTTGATGAAGTTAGTATCACGTACCTGGTGCAAACAGGTAAGTGAAGGGCCCTGAAAGCATCGGGCTTTTTGTAAAAGTTCCATGAAACACCAAGAATCTGAGCACTGCCTTCTGCCTCTACCCAACAGAAGGCACTGGGTTACAGTTACACAATTATTTTTTTCTCCATGGAGTCAAAATGGGTTTTTGGGATTTAAGGAGTTAATATGAGATAGAGATGGTATGGCCAATAGAAAGAGCTCAGAGATTACAGAAGCCTGGATATTTATACTGGTCCTCTACTACTAGTTTTTTGACATTAAACAAGTGATCTTAGTAATGGTTACTGCTGCCTATGGGGTACTTGCTGTGTACCAGGTACCTAGTATGTATTTGCTGTCAACCTCTTTACAGATCTGTAGGGTAGATTGATTGACTAGTTAATTAACATTAGAGAAAACTGAGGAGCAGAGAAGTGTTCATACCCAAGGCTAATAAACAGCAGAGTCAGAATCCAACCCTGCAACTGCCTGGCCCCATACAGGAACAGCACTCTGCAACACCCCTCTCAGGGATGTCTAAAAAATGAAATGAGTCCAGGCATGGTGGCTCACTCCTGTAATCCCACCACTTTCAGAGGCCAAGGCAGGCAGATCTGACCTGAGGTCAGGAGTTCGAGACCAGCCTGGCCAACATGGCGAAACTCCCAGGAGGTGGAGGTTATGGTGGGCCGATCTCGCACCACTGCGCTCCAGCCTAGCCAACAGAGAGACTGTCTCAAAAAAAAGAAAAAAGAAAAGAAATGAGAGTGTGATGTGATAATGAGAAAGAAAGGGGAGGTGGCTGAAGTACCCCAGAGGTGCTTGCACAGATCTCTGGATGAAGTGAAGGGACAGCCATGGGAAGGGTTTCATGAGAATCTTACAGACTCCAAATAAATCTTAGTCTTCTGCTGTAGCCTGAGGAAATTCCTCTAGAAATAGTAAAGATTGTCATGAAAAAGTTTATTTAAAGAAGTTTTTATTAAATATAAACACATTGAAATTGATTAATACATCTTTGTTCTCCCAAAGGATTTTAAGTGAAAAAGATAACTAAAAGAACAGAATAAATAATTGAGGGAATCAACCTAAAGAAAGAGAGGGATAGTGTGCTGGGTAGAGGGATAAAAGCTGTGAGATGGATCTAGAGGGAAGGTTAGTTGGTTAGTTCCCGTGGTGCTGCAGGTGGCCATTATACTTCTTGGTAATCCAGTGCCAAATTTGTAACATCTATTAAATTGAAACAAACATATTGCTTCAGAATAGTGTAGCCCTTTCTCATAGTAAACCCTAAGAAAGATTTCTCCTGTTCATCTTCATGAAGAGCATGGCATGGGTTGTAGTGAACAGCGGGCTCAACAACAGGTCAGGACAAATACATTAGTGAAGCTCATACAGCTGTCTTTTATGAGGTCTGTGCTGAGAGCTAATGACGTTTACAGTTCAGCTAAAACAAATAGACAAACAAAAGTTCTGATCAGTGGTAGGATCAGCCAAAGGATCAAACCTTCTGTTTCTAACCATCAGAGAAATTGTGGACTGCATGTCCGTTGGGCATACTTCATGAGTATTATCTCCTACCCCGGGATCTTGATAAAAGTTAAATAGCAGAGGGTTCAAGGTCATATTCCTGGTGATGCAGCATCGTGAGTTAAGACTTTGAACTTTTGGGTCAAGCTCTGGTTTGGATTTTGGTTCTACCGTTTACTGGCTGTGTTACATGAGAAAGTTACTTAGTCTTCTTGAGCCGCCATTTCCTTATCCATAAATGAGAATAATAATTGTACTTGTATCTTAAGACTATGATAAAGGATTAGAGATTGAGGTAATACATTTAAAATGTTTAGGACACAGTGCCCAGAAAGTGCTCAGTAGCCAGTGGTTTCAGGTGGGGTTGGGATGCGTTTTAATTTTAACGGTAATCATGTGGAATGCTGAATCTTTGTGGCCAGTTGAAGGCAAATGCATAGGTGTGCTTTCACAATTAGCTCAGGTGTAAGATTCTCCTAATTAAAGGCTATACCCCAAAAGAGGCGGGTTATCTATAGATAGAACCAGAATCTTTTTCAGAAAACAGTCACTTTGATAGGAACAGCACATTCATTAATGGCCCCTAATAAAAAGCAGCATCAGTGGGAGAGTCAAACCATTAGCCTGGAAGCCTAAAAATTGACAGAGCTGTTGGTGTGTGTGTAAGTGCAGCGTATGTTGCGTACTTACATAATTGCTAATGGAAGTATCAGTTTATAAACTTCAACCAGGAAATACTAACCTATGTTACTTGTTACTCCTTAAAATGCCTTTTAGGTCGTGATGAAGAAAAATTAAAGTATATTAAAAAATATCTTCAGGCTGTAGGAATGTTTCGAGATTTCAATGACCCTTCTCAAGACCCAGACTTCACCCAGGTATGAGAGTGCCTTCCACTGTGCATGTATTTCCTCTTCCTCAAGGCTGCGATTTTAGTGGTGGTTTTTCTTGGGGGAATGCGCTAGTAGGAAATTAGTCACTGCCAAGGCATTACAAGAGAACGGAGTTTTAGAAGGTTGAAAAACCAAAAGGATAAGGCAATTGTAAACATAACAGAATAATATAACTTCTTACATTCCTACTGGCTTAATAATTGTAGGTTAAGTGTGCTTCCCTATTTGAACTACTGATTCACACCTCTTAATGTGGAAGACCACTGAAAGACTTTGCTAAAGGAATAAGAATGATACAATGGACTTTGGGGACTCAGGGCAAAGGGTGGGAGGGAGGTGAAGGATAAAAGATTACAAATTTGGGTACAGTGTACACTGCTCAGGTGATGGATGCACCAAAACCTCAGAAATCACCGCTAAAGAACTTATTCATGTAACCAAACACCACCTGTTCCCCAAAAATCTATTGAAATATAAAGAAAAATAAAGAGACTTCACTAGTGGAACAAGAGCTGTTTAAAGGCTAAACCATCATTATTACAGACCTAGAAAGAAGTGAAGGTACAAACATGTCAGTAAACTGAATCCACGTTTTTCTAGACAACAAGGTAAACTAGCCCTGCGACCCATGTTTGGTTTCTTAATACATTGAGGAGGGGAAATGTTCAGTTAGACTAAGGCCCGTTTCCTGGTGTTGATAACTTAACGGCTGCATCCCTCCGAAATCACCTTAGAAGTGTAATGGTTTATGTATGATTTCAATAGAAAACCCACCTTCGGCCTAACTTAGCCATATAAAACGCGATGAGCTGCCTCCAAGGATGGGCGAGTGGAGGACACTGAGCATCTGCAGCACCCACCCTGTTCTTTCTGAGAGGTGGCAAGGCTGCCTGCCTGTCTCCTGCTACTTAAGTGCCCATGATGATCTTGGGAAATTAATCACTTAAGATTAATTAAGAGGATTAAGAGAAACACTGGCTTCCTTGTTTTGGAATGTGGTAGTTTATTTGCTTATTTTTATGGTTGTCATGTTTTAAATTCTCTGACATGCTTTGGGTTTCCTCTTTGTGGGTATAATGTAAATTCTATAATTTCTTTTCTTTGGGGTCAACAGGTTGTGGAATTAGATTTGAAAACAGTAGTGCCTTGCTGTAGTGGACCCAAAAGGCCTCAGGACAAAGTTGCTGTGTCCGACATGAAAAAGGACTTTGAGAGCTGCCTTGGAGCCAAGGTAGGGGCCTGCGGGAAGAGGTTGAATCCTCTCAACTCTACCTCTTGCCTGGTTACTCAGCGTCCAGGCTTTCATCCCACTTGACATGAATCTTCCTGTAGCCTGAAGCTTGAGGGTGTTTATTCTTCCTTCTGAAGTCCTTAATGACTTCCTCCATTAGTCACGAGCCAAGCGGCAAGAGCCATCATAGACACAACTCAACCCACCTTTTTAAGCATGTCTGCTTTTCACAGGACCCTCACCACACTGTTTACTCACCCGAGGTTTTCTAGCTGTTGCACCTTTGTGCATGCCCCTCCCTGCCTGAAAGTCTCTTCTCCAACTCATATTACTCTGTTCTGTGAACTCCATAAGACTTGGTTCAGATACCAGCTACTCTGCATTGGGTTCTCAGAATCTCATAGCAGAAAGTCCCCTTTCCCTTATTGGACACTTCATGGTGCTTGGGCTGAAATACTTCGATAGCATTCCATATTCTTTAACTTACATTGTTGGTACTTTATTTGCATGTATGATTTCTGTTGCTAGACTGTACGTGTGAGAATAGGATTTGTGTCTGAATCACCTTGGGAGCCCGCAAGGTACCTAGCACAGTATCTTACATGCGGTAGATTTTCAATGAACATTTCCCAAAAGAATGATTAAGATGTATGATGGATTTTATCTGTGAGACACCAGTATTATGCCAAATATTCAGCTGTACTTTGTTTGCGTTGTTGATCATGATTAATTGAGTCTGGTCAAAATAGCGCCTTTTTCTAAATTTCCATAAGGTTAGAATCCATAGTCTTAATCAGTCCATATCCATTAAACTGTACAATAATGTCATTGAGTTCAATTTAGACTAACTTTAAATTTGTAGTTTTAGCATTTACATTTTTGAGGTGGGAAGGAAGTAATTGTTACTAATTTCAGTGCAGAGTAAGACTCAGATATCATGACTGCTTTTTGTAAAGATTTCAAACGAGTAATTTTTCTGTAGCATTTCAGAGTTTACTTGCAGAGATACTTATGCTTTTGTTAAGAATTGGCCTTTAAAATTATAGTTACCAAAGTATTCCTTCTTCTCAAGTGAGAACTGTTGACTATATGTATGTATTTTCCTCTAGCCAGATACATGTATATCTTATATAAATATATTCCTATATAATATACATTTTTTCTTCCTTTAGCAAGGATTTAAAGGATTCCAAGTTGCTCCTGAACATCATAATGACCATAAGACCTTTATCTATGATAACACTGAATTCACCCTTGCTCATGGTTCTGTGGTCATTGCTGCCATTACTAGCTGCACAAACACCAGTAATCCGTCTGTGATGTTAGGGGCAGGTAAGTGCATTTGACTCCATCCTCATGGTCATACATGTGTGTAGGTGGAAATAGCCCGAGACAGGGCCCAGGGCCTTGGCGGAGTTGTACATGTAGTTCCCTGAACCTCGTCTTTTCCAGATACAGATATTTATTGGCCCATAAATATCTACACAATAAATAGTATCCAAAGCAAAGTTTTTAAAATCGAATGCACACTGCATAATAGTCTCTCTTGAGAATTAACACAGAAAATAAGTAGAGGAAAGCAAAGGAAGCTGGATTTCTGGGAAAGCCTACATTCTTGTGTCAGACTTTGGAAGAAAAATAAAGTGTTACCACAGACTTTGTTCTCCGTGAAACCCCTGAGCAGCAGGATTGAGTTCTGACGTGAATGCTGGGAGGTGTTTCTCAGTGAGGGCACAGGGCACTGGCTGATAAAACCTGGGGCCACTGGCCTGTTTCGCAATTCTGGTTGAGTTGTTAATATTTACATATGTGGTTTCCCTACTATAAGGTCTCTTTAGTTTCCAAGTTTTTAGTCATCCCCAAAGCTCCTCTTATATCCATCCACAGACCAGACAGTGTCAGCAGTTCCTTTCTATGAAGCAGACACGGGCATTAGGAAAGCCTTCTTTGCCTGAGTCCGTGTATTGCCACCTAAGCTTTCCTTGTCTGGTCTGGAGCAAACCAGTCTTCTGTAGACAAGTTACCAGCTTGTCTGTGGCTTTTTGTCCCCTCATGTCCCCACCCCCACTGCTCATGTTTTTGCTACTTCTGTGATACTTCCTAAGACAGAGCACCCAGTGTTCCAGTAGCAGTCTCTGTATCTGCCAAAGTCCAGCAGATCCTCCACTTCAAGATATATCTGAACACTCGATTTTTACTTCTTGGCTGACCGTTCCTTGCCAGCCAGCACACAGCTGATATAGTTTCAGAAAGGGCTCCTTCAATGATGATTTTCATCCAAATAAAACATAATTAGAAAGATGATTTTCCCTCTAAAAAAAAAATTAAAAACTCATTTTGTAATATATTCCTAAATGGTTTTACATTTATCTCTTTAAAAAAAAAGTAAGCAAATCTCTTTCTTCATTTCCTTGCCTAGCTTTGAGTTTACTGCATATATCTAAATGACCGTTGGCCAGGGAGCCTTTAGATTTCTGTTTGGCAGCAGAAACAGCAGATAGCGCCAACATGAAGGGAGCGTGGTCAGGTGGTGGCAGGAAATGCAGACTGAAGAAAATCAGGCTCTTTTCTGAAGTGTGCCTGGCACCTAGAGCAGGCAGCCTCCCACACTGCATCTGTGTTTACCATTTCACAGGATTGTTAGCAAAGAAAGCTGTGGATGCTGGCCTGAACGTGATGCCTTACATCAAAACTAGCCTGTCTCCTGGGAGTGGCGTGGTCACCTACTACCTACAAGAAAGCGGAGTCATGCCTTATCTGTCTCAGCTTGGGTGAGGGAGAGTTTTCTTTTGCACCATTGCTTTTGTTGAATTGTATCCCTCATGTATCTTGCTGTGTCACCTTGTAACAGATGTGAGATTATCTGATGATATCTAATTGCATAGTCGTTTATCAGTTGGTAGTTAGACTTAAACCCTTACATTCCATCTAAAGAGAGCCCTCTTGCCCTCTAGGGCACCTACCATGAATGGAGTTTGCAGGACTGGAAGTTGCTTTGGTTGAGTCAGTGAATGAGTGGAGAGTGAATGTGAAGGCCTAGGACATTACCACACACTACTGTTGACTTTATAAACACTGGACACTTAGGCCACACTAACTTAATAAAAAAAAGTTTCTTTCTTCAATAATGTAAACCGTAGCTTACTTTTATTTTACAAACTTTTAAGTTTATTGAAACTCTTGACTCTTAAAACACTTAGCTTAAAACAAACATATTGTATAGCTGTTCCAAAATATTTTCTTTATATCTTTATTTCATAAGTTTTTTCCTATTTTTGAAGTTTTTATTTTTTTACTTTTTAAACTTTTTTGTTAAAAACCAAGACAGGCTGGACCCAGTAGCTCACACCTGTAATATCAGTGCTTTGGGAGGCCAGGGCAAGAGGATTGCTTCAAGCCAGGAGTTTGAAACTAGCCAGGGCAACATAGTGGGACCCCTGTTTCTACAAAAAAAAAAAATGTAAAACAATTAGCCAGGCATGGTGGTGCATGCCTGTAGTCCCAGCTTCTCGGGAGGCTGAGGCTGCAGGATGGCTTGAGCCCAGGAGTTTGAGGTTGCAGTGAGCTATGATCACGCCACTGTACTCCAGTTTGGGTGACAGCAAGACCCTGTCTCAAAAAAAAAAAAAAAAAACCTAAGAGATAAACACACACTTTAGGCCTACACCGGGTCAGGATTGTCAGTATTACTGTCTTCTACCTCCACATCTGTCCCACTGGAAGGTCTTCAGGGGCAATAACATCCATGGAGCTGTCATCTCCTGTGATAATAATGCCTCCTGGAATACTTCCTGAAGAACCTTCCTGAGGCTGTTCTACACTTAACTGGTTTGCTTTTTTTTTTAATAAACAAAAAGAGTACACTCTAAAAGAACAATAAAAAGTCAGCATGGCTGGGCGCGGTGGCTCATGCCTGTAATCCCAGCACTTTGGGAGGCTGAGGCAGGCAGATCACGAGATCATGAGATCGAGACCATCCTGGCTAACACGGTGAAACCCCGTCTCTACTGAAAATACAAAAAAACAAAATTAGCCGGGCGTGGTGGCGGGCACCTGTAATCCCAGCTACTTGGGGGGCTGAGGCAGGAGAATGGCATGAACCTGGGAGGTGGAGCTTGCAGTGAGCAGAGATAGCGCCACTGCACTCCAGCCTGGGCAACA
Source organism: Homo sapiens (assembly GCF_000001405.40). Taxonomy (NCBI): domain Eukaryota; kingdom Metazoa; phylum Chordata; class Mammalia; order Primates; family Hominidae; genus Homo; species Homo sapiens. Next base: position 32,428,827 of record NC_000009.12, read on the forward strand.
GAGCGAGACTCCGTCTCAAAAAAAAAAAAGTCAGCGTGAGTTTGTTTATACCAGCATCATCATAAACAAGAAATGCCTTGCACTGTGACATCACGATGGCTACAACATCACTAGGTGATAGGAATTTTTCAGCTATATACCACATATACATTTGGGTATATGTGGTCTATCACTAACAGAAACATTGTGCAGTGCATGAATGTATTCGTTGCCAAATACGCTTTCTCCAATTTCCATATTATTCCTGACTTATGACATATATTTTATTCATGTGCCTCATAAAATTCAAATCTCCTTAGGATTATACAATAATAGTAGTTAATGAAGATATGGCATATATGATTTCAACTTTTTTAAATTGTTGCTCATTCAATTTGATTCCTTTTTATAAGTTAAAAATATGAATAGTATTCTTATGTTATATATCAGAATGCTCTCAAGAATGAAACTTTTAGAAATAGCACTATACTGAACTTAGTTCATGCACTGCAATTCCTTTTTGAACAGTGGTCTCTGGAAACTGTGGCCAGCAGAAGGGCTCACTGAAAGTTATTCTTTTTTTGTGTGTGTGTGCTTCTCTCTTGGTGTCTAGGTTTGACGTGGTGGGCTATGGCTGCATGACCTGCATTGGCAACAGTGGGCCTTTACCTGAACCTGTGGTAGAAGCCATCACACAGGTAATTGCAGAGGTCCCTGCAGGTCTTCAGAGCAGTTGTTTCTTTTCATGTAATGTGACAAAAATGCTGATATTTTCAAGAAGGTCCATGGAAGCAGGGGATGTGGTTTAGAGTATGATCTTTTGAGTTTAGTTAAAATTACTAGCTGGGTAACCTTGGGCAAGTTAATTAACCTATCTGTGCCTGGGTTTTCACAACTGTATATTGGAGATGATAATAGTATCTATTTTATAGAGTTGTGAGAATTAAGATGATGATAAACATAAGTCACTTAGTGCAGTGTCTGGCACTCAAGTGCTCAGTACTGGCTGGTTTTCACTACAAAGGGCTCTACAGTTGTTTGTTATAGGTATTGGGTTAGTGCAAAAGTAACTGTGATTTTTGCCATTTCAGTGATGAAGACCACAATTACTTTTGCACCAACCCAAATAATTTGAAAATTGGTTCAAAGTGAGACAAGTCTCCACACAAACGAATCTAAACTAAATTGCTTTGGCTTGATTTTTATCCCCAAAATGCTGAACCTTGAAAGATATTATTTGGTTTGCTTTGCATTAATTATAGAATCTACGTATTCTATAATTGTGCATTGTGACTTCCTTTAACGATCAACTGTTAGGTCTTTCCCACCTGTTCTTGGGCCCCAGGCAGCAATAACTAGTATGTTGCCTTCTAACTACCTGATATTTTCTCGTGAGCAGAAATCACTAAACATGTCTCTGCTTCCTTTGACCCAGAGTATCTCCCATGGGGACACCCCAGTGTACCCTTCTCCCCTCTAGTGGGAGAGAACCAAGTGAAAGGGCAGCTTAAAGGACTGTATCCTTGCGATGTGGAAACTCTTGCCAATGGTCTGAGACAAGAAGCCTAGTCAGTATCTTTTAGTGACCTGATTTTTCTCTTGCCTTACTCAGGGAGACCTTGTAGCTGTTGGAGTACTATCTGGAAACAGGAATTTTGAAGGTCGAGTTCACCCCAACACCCGGGCCAACTATTTAGCCTCTCCCCCCTTAGTAATAGCATATGCAATTGCTGGAACCATCAGAATCGACTTTGAGAAAGAGCCATTGGGTAAGATTTTGTTTGTGCAGCCATAATTTTTTTCCAGTGAATTCAGAAATATTACTAGAAGAAACTGCTTTCCTTAATAAGAAATGAAGCATAGAGCCTCCAGGGATAAGACAAAGAAGAGAATAATTTCTTTATTCCCCAATATACAGCTAAGACTTAACTGCAGTAGTTAAAACAAGAATCTACTGAGGGTAAAGGATAACGAAAGGAAAACAGGTGCCAAAAGGAATAGACATCTTGCTATTCTGGTTTCTTCTGTAGTTCCTCCCTTTCTAGCTCTCACTTTAATGATAGGCATTGTTTCAATATATACTCTGTAGAAACATACTGCAGATATTTCAACTTCTCAGAATTCCAAAGAAATGATACATCATTTCCTTTCCCCAGATCAGCTTGCTTGCTCTGCCTGCCTCAATCTATTCTAAGCCGAATAGATAATATGAAAACAATGCCTCTGAAATTTACTTTTAGGAAATCATAACTTTAGACGTACAGTTGATCCTCGTTATTTGTGAGTTCTATGTTTGCAGATTTGCGTAGTCACTAAAATGTATTTTAACCCCCAAATCAGTATTTGTAGTATGTTCACGGTCATTCACAGATCAGCACAAAGGGGTGAAAACTTTATATCATTCAACACACACGTTCTATGCTGAGATCTGATAAGGCGTCACTCTGACTTCTTGTTTCAGCTCTCCTGCGATATATAAGGATCCTTTTCTTGGTCTACGTAGTGCCATGCTTTTTGCATTTTTGTGCTTTTTGTGGTGATTTTGCTGTTCAAAATGGTCCTTGAGCATAGTCCTGAAGTGCTTCTGGTGTTCTTGAGCACAAGCCGACTGTGATGCGTACTGTGTTTAGATAGGCTTCGCTGGAAGTTCAATGTCAGTGAGTCAACAATTGCTATTAAATAAGGTGAATAATAAACCTCACATGAAGCAAGGTTATGTATTGATGGGTGACCAGAGGCTTGCAGGAACCTAACCCTGTATTTCCTCCAGTGGCAGTGATTCCGTATCCAGTCATTCAGTGTTCACACGGGCTTTATAGAACATAACTACCGAGGAGAACGAGGCTTGACTCTGTATAATCATGAAAATTGCATATTAGAAAGTTTTCTCATTAATAAACATTTTTTCCCCAGGAGTAAATGCAAAGGGACAGCAGGTATTTCTGAAAGATATCTGGCCGACTAGAGACGAGATCCAGGCAGTGGAGCGTCAGTATGTCATCCCGGGGATGTTTAAGGAAGTCTATCAGAAAATAGAGGTGAGGTCCCACACTGCCCTCCCCGCCCCAGAGGATCTAAGGGAAAGCTGCTCCCTTTGTGTCCTGTCTGCAGACCTCAAGGCTAACGGAAGTATAAACTATATAAAGTAACATTTATTTCTTCAGATGACTGGGGAGGTGGTTCTCCGTCATTTTTCTCCTGTGACTCGCATTTTTACAAACCCCACCTCCCCCAGATGTTCCCAGATTTGGACAAGTTGGTGACAGCCTAGAGAAGAAAGGCCTCCTCAGGTTCAGCTCTCCAAAACCCCACGCCTTTCTCGGACACCCAGGGGTGTGTGTCAGCTGTGGCGAGGACCCCTGGTGGTCACTATATTGTGTCACTAAGTGGAGTCCATTGGTCGAATGCACCTCTCAGAATGCATTTTTGCACACTTAAAAATAAAGAAATTAAGGCCACTCAGTAGGAAGTGCCAAACTACTGAAATAAAACTTTCCGTGCATTTTACAAATAGGAGGAAATGTGTGGGGCTCAGCATTATATTCTGAGACTCTTGGATATTATTCCTTTCCCCGCCTTCTGCATTCAGCTGACCCAAGGGCTTCTGACTGCGGCTGATGGTTTAAATGAGGGTAGAACTGTCTAGGGGAAGGGGTGATGTAGGTGTGATGTTCACACGCTGCACTCTTCACAAGGTGCTCCTTGGGAGATGGTGTTAGGGAGCTTGGCAGGCATTATGTTAAATGCCTTCCTCCAAAGGCCGAGTTAATGGACCTGTGGACAGAATTCAAACCAATTTTAATGCATAGCAGCTGTCATTTGCTACCCAGTGTTTGTGTGACCTGGAAGGCCACTTCCCAAAACACTCAGAGAGTAATTTCCCCTTTGGTACAATCTGGATTATTATTTCATAAGTTATTGATAAGCATATGCATTAGTTATCTATTGCTGTGATATAGCAATAGATATAGTGAGTTGAAACAACAAACATATATTGTCTCCCATTTTCTGTGGGTCAAGAATCCAGGCACAGCTTCACTGTGTACTTTCACAGGGTTCCAGTAAGATGTCATCTGGGGCTGCAGTCTCTGGAGGAGGGTCCACTTAGGCTCACTCATGTGGCTATTGGCAGGATCAAGTTCCTCAAGGGCTGTTGCACTGAGGTCCTCCGTTTCTCACTGGCTGTTCGCTAGAAGCCTCCCTCAGCACCTTGCTATGAGGGTCTCTTCATGACTCACACATGGTAGCTGGCTTCCATCAGAGCAAGAGAGCAAGAGAGTCAGAAGGCAGGTCTCAATAATCTAATCTAGGAGATAGTCACTAGCTTCAGCCCACACTCAACAGGAGGGGGTCAACTAAGGATGTGAATCCCAGGAGGCAGGATCCCTCCTGCCATCCTAGAAGCTGCCTATCACGGTGCATATGTATGTTGTTGTTTGTTTTTCAGAGACCAGGTCTTGCTTTGTCACCCAGGCTGGAGTGCAGTAGTGTCATCATAGCTCACTGCCACCTCAAATTCCTGAGCTCAAGCAATCCTCCCATCTCAGCCTCTCGAGTAGCTCGGACTACAGGCACATGCCACCACACCCAGACAATTTTTTTTTTATTTTTGTAGAGACATGGTTTTGCCATCTTGCCCAGGCTGGTCTTGAGCTGCTGGGCTCAAGCCATCCTCCCACCTCAGCCTCCCTAAGTAATGGGATTAATAGATGTGAGCTACCATGCCCAGCCCACAGTGTCTCTGGATTTTTAAGTTACTTAGCATGACCCACTATTAGTATAAAGGAACTCTTGTATGTGGCTATTGAGAATAAAAATGGTTCTTAGTGTACCTTTTAGCTTGAATGTATGTTTTGTGTTTGCATATTAAATTTTCTCTGGAATGGGATGTGATTAGATCTGCCTTTCTTTTCTTTTTTAAGACTGTGAATGAAAGCTGGAATGCCTTAGCAACCCCATCAGATAAGCTGTTTTTCTGGAATTCCAAATCTACGTATATCAAATCACCACCATTCTTTGAAAACCTGGTATGGCTTTTTATTTTTTAACAAAATGAATTCTTTGAAGGGTTTCTTTCCTAATAATATCTACTTTATTACCCCATGCTCTTGCTTTGACTACCCATTTTATTAAACCCTTTGCAAACCCAAGCAGATACTGCTGGGGAAAGTTTTGGGAGGCTGGGATATTTGGCTGCCGTGGGTCTATAGTTTCTCTATGCAGGGGTTCTGCGTGGATGTACACAGCCACCCTAGTAATCACCTGGACTTAAACCTAGTAGAGTCTGAGGGACTGTCCCAGGAGACCATCCCCAGAGCCCACCATAGTGAACCTTATACCCATAAAAACCAGGGACATTGTCCCTGAAACTGATGATCTAGAAGTTGGTGCTCTCCTGGGTGGGTCACTGTGGGAAGGGATGCAGTAGAAGTGAGGA